>NC_000008.11:24102526-24405557 GCF_000001405.40 Homo sapiens
TTTCTACTTAATTTAGCTAGATGCTAAATTTGTCGCCACTGTACTATACCCAATTATAATAATTTTATTGTCATTTGTTTTGTAGATGAGAAAACCAAATGTCATTGAGGTGCAGTGATGCTCATAGCACGATAGAACTTGCAACTTGCAAGTGGCAGAGCCCAGATTCTGACTCCAAATGCTGGACTCTTCCCCTGTAGAAAGGTTAGAAAATACACATGATGTATGCTGCCCCTCATCTGTCAGCCGACGTCCAGAAAGGGGCTTAGAATCCTTAGCACAAAGCTTCAGAAAGCCACAGCTGGTTAATAGAAGGTAGCACGTAGTAAGTCTATTGCAAATTTAGCTCCATATCACACAATATTTAACTACAATGAAGGAGTAAGTCTGATTTCTTGGTTCTCTTTCTACCTTTGTTTCTCAGTACATTTCAAGGCCTCTTCCCAGTCGAATGCTCTCAGATGTCAGTAGTCCTGCCTCTCTGGAAAGGTGTTGTCAATCTAACATGTTATCCTCACATCAAGGGTTTTGACACTTAAAGGATGACCTCCAGAAAAAGGAAATGCTTAACCCTACAGAAGGGACTAGTAACAAAGTAAGTTTAGAATACTCGAAGGGAGATGTTTCAATAATATCTCGGTACTGGCACTTCCTCTAGTACAGCACTTTACACCCTTTTGCTCAGTAAATATTTTTTGATTGGATGCTTTTCTAATTTGTCTGCTAATGGCTGTGTGGGCAAAGGCAGAAGACTTGGATTCAAAACAAAGAGCAGTATTAGGGTTAAAATGATTTCTTCCAGGGACAGCTCCCAGGGTAATATTCTAGAGCATAAATTTAGCTTGGCTGATATTTTGTGAAGGAAGTAGAGGAGTCTTTATTTATTTTGAAATGCAATAGCCAAGGATTCAGCCTTTGATTTCTCTCCAGATATGGTTGGAAGTTCTGAAAAGGTCTTCTGGGTGCCTGGATCTTGCTGCTCCAATGCGAATCTTCTTGGTGTCTCTCCTGGGTAGCTACAATCTGCCTTTGATCTCACTCCCTAATTCTGGGTGTGTGTGTGCTGACATTTATAGTTGTAGACTTGTTTGCTTCCTTCTGCTTGCCTAATTGATCCATTTTCCTGCTGGGGGTCAATACCCAAATGCTATGACTTTGGTGGTAATGCCATTCACCCCATTCTCAAAGTGAACACATGTGTGTGTTATATAAACAGCGTGGTATTATCCTCACTGCCGAACTTACACCAAAGCTGTGTGTTTTTACAAATGTATTAAATAAAATGCTGCTTGACCACATTGGTGGTTTGACAATGAGTTTAACCTTGAAACAGCCATATTTTGACCTAATCTAGTATGAAGTGGGTAAAGGAGGTGACATTTATTGAGTTTTATTTATGCTAGGCACAGTGATAGGCATTGAAATACACAAATTTCATTTCATCCTCACAATGTTTTATGAGGCGGGGATTATTATTCTGGGGGGTGAAGTAACCCAACGGCACAGAGGTCTGAATCCAACTGTGACTGCCTTGTCAGAACATCAGTTTGCCTCCTTGTGGTCTAGGTAGTCCCTGGTAGACCTGTTGGAAGTAACTGTGGAGATCTGATGGCCAGGGATGGTCTTGAGTTTTACCTTCACTCTGTTCTTTTATTTACATTCATTTAAGTGCAAGAAAAAGTGAACCTGGGGTGAGAAGTCATAGATTCTTGTCCGAACATTGTCATTAGCTTGTTGTATAATGTTGGGCAAAACACTCCGCTTGTCTGGGCCTCTCTCTCAACATCTGTAGGAATGATTTGAGCTAAGTTGCTGCTGGATCTCCCCTCCAATCCTCCTGGCTGCCTGGGAGTGGGGAATGCTTCATAAAAAAGATATTCCACTTGATCTTGGTCTTTAAGGATGTAAAAGAGTTTACCAACAAAGATGGAGAATAATAGCTTTGCTGAGAGAGAAAACAGAATGTTCACTTCTGTATGTATGGTGTGATAGGACACACTCTTGGAGAATAGTGAGAAGCAAAGTATGCTCTATGGATAAAATATACACTATGAGGTGAGTAGAGACAGGAAGTTTGGGACCCAGTTGTAAAGTGCCTGGGATGACAATTGAAGTGAGAATTTCACCCTGGATGTAGGAAATCAATGAAAGTCTTTAATGTGAGGAAGTCACCGTCAGAGCTGTATTTTTAAAAAGTTTTTCTAATGGCAATACGAAGGATGGACTGGAGGGAGAAGAAGTGAGATAGGAAAAGCAATAGGTTTTGCATATTAATGTTCCAGAAGAAGATGATGAGGTCTAAATTAGCAGAAAAACAGAAAAAAGGAATGAGTTTCTAAAGATATATATGAGAGACAATACGTTCCCTGTCATACTGATCTGAGTTACCTTGTGTATTTAATAGATTCTAAATGTACATTTAAAAATATGTAAAGATTCTTGAAATTCGGATTCATGTTACCATTGGCTATCCCGGTTTAATCGCCAGAATATTTTTTCTTCTTTCTAAATGCATAGACATACTGATGAGTGTAACAATTCATGGAGCCATAGATACAGCAAAATAAGGTAAGTTACTGTCCAATTTTCTCATATTCTCTGTACAAAAATCCTCTAAAGACTTCTGGTCCAGTGGAGGTAAAAATCATTGCCCCTTCCTTGTTAAATGGAGCAAAGTAAAAGGATAAAATCAACCTGGCTTTCCTTAGTAAGTAAAGGATCAAGTTGGTTGTTTGTTGAAAATACAAATTCACTTTTTATTGTAACTATTTGTTTCTAGGTGAAGTCAATTCTCTGTCCTAAATGAAATGGCAAAATACTCAGATTCAGCAGAAGAGAAGTAGCATGAGATAATACAAAAATCTGTTAAAAGCTTTAATTTCAAGTTCTGCCTGTGGGGCATTAGTTGTGTGACCTTGGACAAGTCATTTCAGCCTCTCTAAGCCACTCAGTTGCCTTCTTGGTAAATATAGTTCCAAGATCAGTCTCATAAAATTGTTGGGTGGCTGAAATGAAATATTTACATAGATAATGTAAGATAATTTTTTTCTTTGTTAATCCGTTATCTTGTTTGAGTACTTTGTAAGCTTCAAATTACTATGCAAAACTTAATTGCTGCCCATATCTGCATGCCCTGGTGGTATGTTCATAGCCTATCGAGGACCTAGTATCTCAGACCTCCAGAGAGTCATCTTGTTTAACCTGTTTTGTAATTTGGCTCTGAAAGCACATTTTGATGGCGGATGTGGTATTAACAAATGTTCTAGAGGGGAGAGTGGTTTGCCAGGAAGCTTTGCCAATTAAAAGCAAAGTGAAAATTCAGAATTACAGAGATTTAATTTCCTGCTGAATAATTCTCCACAAGCTGTGTAAACTTCTCCTTACTGAACAAATACTCAGAATAAAATAGCTTAGATGCTCTTTTCCTTTTTAATAAGAAAATGTTCATATTATTTGCATGTGGAGCCAAGGGAAGAAGGAGGTCTGGCTCTCCTGAGCTGAGTTTGTATAAGTCATCAAGAATCCTGCTGTGTCCTTGACCTGTGGAACTTGGAAGGCTGGGTGAAAAGAGCCATTTTTAAAGGGCCTTTTGCCAGCAAGAGCCCCATAGATTGTCCCTGGGCTAGTTCCTTGCAGTCTGTTTAACTTGATACTTTTAAAATGAATTGACCATTAGTGGAAGATGCTTTAGAATAGTGTTTGAGCACCTACAATGAGCCAGTCCTGAGGTCAAGTGGCTAGCAAAACAGACATGGTCCTTGACTTCCCAGAACATAGTTTGGAAGGGGAGTCAACCAACAGATGTTCACATACATAAATATAAAGATAAAAATTGTGATAAATGTTAATATTAATGCATCCAAAAAGAAGGCTATTTAAGAAAGGACATTTGAACTGGAACGTAGTGTAAGTGGGAGGTGTTCAACTGCCTAGATCATAGACAAGTGTTCAGGCAGTGGTAGTCTCTGTGAAAAGTCCCTGAAATGGAAACGGCTGGGTGTCCTTGAAAAGCTGAAATGAGGCCAGTATGCAGGAGATAGCTTGAGGGAGAATGGTTCAAGAGAAAGAGAAATAGTTCCCAGATAATAAAGCTCTCCTGGACCTAAGCACAGTGGGAATCCATTAAAGGGTTTAAATCAAGAGAATAGCCTGGCCAGATTGTATTTACAAAGATCACTTTGCCTGCTGTGTGGGAAACCACTGAAGAGCAAAGTTTGCAAGCAAGGACAGTAATTAGCAAGCTCTTGTAATCATTCTAGCAAGTGATGGTATTGAGGTGGACTAATGTGGTCATAGAGGTGGTGAAGAACAGTGTGCAATTTTGAGATATATTTTACAGTCAGGATCTGCATGACTTGATTCTGAATTGGATGTTAGAAGTGAGGCAGAAAGTTGAGACTCATAGTCGAGTCTCAGATTTACAGATTGAACACTAGCTGGGTGGATCATGAAGCCATTTACCAACTCAGTTCCACAGAGGAAGGAAGTTTTGATGGAAGACCTTAAAGCTGAGCTACAGGTCTTAAAAGTCTATTTAAGTTTTTATTTCATGTAGACTTCATATCGAGTTTAAGTTTCCCAGCAGAGTCACAGAGTGCAATGCTACGTAAGTCTGGAGCTTTCAGCAGAATTCAAGCTTGGAGATACAAATTCAGCAACTCACTGAACCATGGAGAGTTGTGAAAGCAATAGTATAATGGGACTCCAGGGCATTGTCACTAAGAGAAGTTGGAGCGGTTGCCTCCTTCTGATTAGTATGTAAAAATTAACTGAGGAGATTAGGTTAGGAGGACACAGGCCATGATCAGGAAGCTCAAATCGATCATTAGGCAATGAGAGTAATTGAGAATCAGAGCACAGGCTTCTTTTGAGGGGGGAAAAAACAAGCAGCTCTGTCTCTCCCATAAGACATATGATAAAATATTAAGCACGTACCGTGTAACAGGCATCATGCAAGGCATTTTGTAAACCTTTTTCCAATGTAAACTTTATAAAAAGTTTGCATTGTTCTAAAAGATATGTATACACATAGGTTAAGGGGTTGAATAGTTCTACAAAGGTTATTATGAAAACCACGTTTCTTCTGCCACTATTTCCAGCACCCACTCCTTATAGGCAGCTGCTTTCCATTCTTTTAGCTTTTTCTCTTGGTATTTCCATGTATGTCCTAAATAACACATTTTATGATGTTAATTCCTGATTTTTTATTTTTATTTTTTTTTGTTTCAGGCATTGTATTTTAGCTTTTCACTATGAAAAATGAGAACTTAGCCTTTTTCTTCAGGCTCTTCCTCCAAACACAAAGGCACTGAGAGAATAGACTCTAAAGCTATAGACAGTGTAGAGTGGAATGCACTTTTAAAAGCTTCCTGGTAGAGTTTGAATTGCCAGTTGCATCTCCAGGTAAAAGAGATGGCTTGACAGAACGTAAGGGCAGCAGCAGTGTCTCACCTACAGAGGAAGCTTCTCACCTGGACAGGAGTGGTAAAAGGCAGTTGTGACAATGACCACAGCACCTTGCATTTCAAAGCTTTATGTCTTTGCAGTGCATTTTCCCACTGACTCTTTAAAGGACTTCTGATATTCCAGTGAAGTAAGTCGGGCAATAGTATTTGTATAATTTTTTCCCTCAAAAAGGAAATTGAAGTTAAGAAAATTTGGGTGATTAAGCCAAGATGAGTGACAATTGCGATTATGGCAATGAGGGAAATCATTGATTGATAGCTATGTTTCAATACTAAATGAACACAGTAATCTTTGTTTCTAACAAGCAGTATAAAGTACATATGTGTATGTCCATAATAAACATGTATTTGCATATAAATTATATAGGTATTTAACAGTGTACATATTTCACTGGCTGTTAAAACTGTACATGTGTATGTATATATTAATATATAGCATAAATTGGTACAAGACTAGAAGAAAATAAGCAAAAACTGAAATAATTTAGTTGGAAAGATCAGATTGTGAGTGGTAGCTTAAAATTATTTTTTTCCTGCTATACTATAGCTAAGCAAATTAAAATATTTGCTAAGTAAATTAAAAAGTAGTACAACTTAGCAGGTTAAAAGAATTTTTTTCCCACCTATGAGTGAGAACATGCAGTGTTTGGTTTTTTGTCCTTGCGATAGTTTGCTAAGAATGATGGTTTCCAGCTTCATCCATGTCCCTACAAAGCCCATGTACCGTAAAACTTAAAGTATAATAATAATAAAATAAAATAAAATAAATAAAAAGAATTTTTTTCTTTCTTTTATCTTTTTTTTTTCTTTTTAAAGATGGAGTCTTGCTCTGTTGCCCAGCCTGGAGTGCAGGGGAGTGATCCTGACTCACTGCAACCTCTGCCTCCTAGGCTCAAGAGATTCTCCTGCCTCAGCCTCCAGAGTAGCTGGGATTATAGGCATGTGCCGCCACGCCTGGCTAATTTTTGTATTTTTGTAGAGACAGGGTTTTGACATGTTGCTCAGGCTGGTCTCAAACTCCTGGCCTCAAGTGATCCGCCTGCCTAGACCTCCCAAAATGCTGGGATTTCAGGTGTGAGCCACTAAGCCTGGCTAAGGATTTGGATTTGTTATTACAAATGCCATGGGCTGTTGTTTAGAAATCCACATGAATTAAATTGTTTTAAGAGAAATTATCAAGTGAGCATAAGAGTATAAGAAAGGGTAGGGATAGAATCTTTCCTCATTTTACAATGTGCCCTCCCCAATCCCTATTTCATCATACATATATAAAATTGTAATTTTTTGTGTATGTTAGCTAGTGAAACATGATTATTCATGAATCAGCATGTGAACTCATAGACTTACTATTGCCTGTCACACAGCCACAAGTGCACACCTGCTTAATTCACTGTGCCCCTCTGCAAAGCAGTCATGACACTGCTAGCTGGGAGAGAGTCACAGAAAGATCTGTTGCTGTGAATTAATCATGAAGGTGATAATGCCTGGACAAGGGCATGTATGGGAAAGGGTAAGGCAATAATTTGAAGACATCTATTTTCCCCAAAGAAGTTAGTTGGAAAAATCAATATTCTGAAAACTGCTTAATATATGATTTTTTTTTCAAACTTTGGGCAGTGTAGCAGGCATGCCATTGAAAAACAATTGAATTAGCAATTGAAAGCATTGTTGAGAATGCCAAGTCTCTTCCACGTGGATGTCATGTCTATGAAAAATGCAAAGGTGGCTTGGGATGTGAAAAACTGTCTAACCCAAATCCCTGGTGAGAACATAATGCCTCTTTAATAAATTCAATAAAAATATAATAAATTATATTTAATTTTATAATAACCAGTAAATTTATAATAAATTCATGTATTTATTTTTATTAAAGTAACTTTATAAAATTATTAATAAATTTGTAGTAATTAATAACATTACTTTTGTTAATATAATAAAAACTCATAGAAGGCCAAATTGCAACTTTCTAACATAACCACTAGAACAGTAAATTGAAGAGGAAACTAAGCCTTCCTGCATCATTCCATAATGGATGTGACACGCATTCGAATGGTAGTATCTACTCTGGGTGACATGGTATAACCTACACTCTGAATAATCCCAAGAAAATGGCTAGCTCTACTTTTTTTCCCTGTGGTATGCTTATCTCTTGCTGATAAATGCATTATTTATCTTTGTAATGCTATATGATTACTTACAAATGAATTCCACCCCCTACCTCCAAATAGCAGTACGCTACCCTCTCCAGTGCGAAAACTTGATTTCGTGAGGAAGTGAGGAAGTTGATTTAAGAATGTCCAAATGAAAATAATAGGTTCGAGCTTAGAATGATTAAGGAGTTTTGCATTTCATTAATTTCTCTTTCTCTATTGTTTTAGAGAAGAGTTTTCATCCACTTTGGATTAAAAGTTTCATGTCTTCTTGATAAGTACTCTATATCCTAATATAAAGCTGATATAAAATGTGCATTTCCTTCCTCCTTGTATCAGAGATTATTGGTATACAGTGGTCGGAAGACTTTCTTCTATGGACTCAGGCTCACTTTGTCCTTCTTACGGGCATTTTTTTAAATTTATATTTCTACAGAATAAGTAACGAACCTATAGGGGAATAGACTGATGAAAAGTCACAGCATCATGCTGAATCAAATGGGCACAGAGAACTGTTCAAAGTGGACCAGTCATCAGGAACAAGTGGCTCCTTAGGCCAGACCCCAGGACCTCCTGAACCAGGACTGAGGAGTGGTTTAGGTTTTTATGCCCCTGGGTTAGTGAACATAGCTATGTCACGCACAGGACAGTAGGCAGGAGCATCTGCTCATTTTCACAACAGAACAACCAAGGGGTCTTTGGGTTATGACAACTTGAACTCTAGAGTTAGATGGCAGGGGTACCTCATTTGGCCCGGGAAGGATGATAGAGGAAGGCCACTGTATGTTCAGTAGCACAACTGCCATCCAGTGGGTAACGACCTTTGCAGCAGTTTGTCCCACAGTGGCCTTTCTCCTTTTGTTGTGGTTTTTACAATCATGGAAGAAGGCAAACTGGTGAAGAGAATTAAAATGTTCTCAGCAATTTCTCTCTCAAAAGGCTCTTCCAGTCCACCATTTGTCCAGCCAGCGCTATTTTCAGGGTGACTTGTGTTTGTGCTTTTTTTGGGTTTAAAATCCACAGTCTGGCCTATTTCCCTGGCTATTAGCCTCTTCCTTCTTTGCTCTTCCAGCAGAAACAGAGCTGCTTTTTTTTTTTTTTTTTTTTTTTTAACCTCTGTGACTTCCCAGGGACAAGTGTCCAGTCACACTCCCATAGTGTGTATTGCTCTTCTATAGGAAAATTAAGATTTAGTCACACACACGTACACACTTATAAGTCCTTATTGCCGATGGGTGCAGTTTGGGAATTCAAGTTCAATTTTTTTTTTTCATTTTTTACACAACTCTCTTTGAAGGTATAATTGTCAATTACTGAAAGCCTTTTTACATTACTGTTCCATTTTCTTGGTCAGTCTCATAAGACTGTGTGTGTGTGTGTGTGTGTGTTTAAATCTGATGGGCATAGATATAATCCTCCGACCAAGGATGACTGCACACCCTCCCCCTTTTCCTAATGCAGCTGTTCCCTGTTGACTCTCAGGGATGCACCATCCTATGCCATGCCCCTCACAGACTTGAGCATAAGCTACTGAATTTGGATTTGACCATATTTGTAGATGGTGCAGGTGTGGCTTATTTCATGCCAATTATAATTTCACAAGACACAATTTATTTGATGTCTTAAAATACCTTGAGCAGGTATGAACACAGTACCTCTGGTAGGTACCATTTTCGGCAGAACATTGGCAAAGCTGAATGGCTTGAGAATGGTTCAATATTTGAACTTCCTATTGGAAGAGTTGGGCTTGGCACTGTTTTTAAGAGCAACCAAGGAAGGTGGAGGAAGAAATAAAAACAAAGTTGATGATCTTAAGCAGCAGGCTAAAGTTTGGGCAGTGTCATACCCGTTAAATTTTCTTCTTAAATCCAAATAATTTTTATTTATTACTCACCTTTTTAAAATTACATCTCCTCTTGAATTATGGAAAGCGATACATTAAAACATTTAGATACATTAAATATATATACATTAAAACATTTAGAAAATTCAGTAAAACATTAAGAAGAAAGTAAAAACCACTTGTTACCCAAATTTTAGAAATAATTTCTGTTAACATTTTGATACGTGTCTGTGGATATTAATATGTACATGTATATCCATGATGTGCAGCAATATTTATATGCATAATTATCTTTGGTAATACTGGTATGTGTTTATATGTGTATAAATATTCTTGCATTGCACATAAGTATATTCATGGTTTTGCTATGTATAATTGCAGTGCATTTGGATTAAAGATATATATGAATCCTCTACAATAATTTTAAATAGTTAAGTAATATTCCACCTTCCAATGTATTCTAATTCAATGTTGGGCATTCATGGAATTTCAAATTTCTTATTATAAAAAAAATTTGATGAATATAATAGTACATTTATGTTCATTAATGGCTCTATTTCTACAAGAAATATGGTTAGCTCAAAAGGCTTTTTTGTTTTTTCACATTCTTAAGTTTCCCATCAAAATTGTTCTTATTGATGTCCCAGCCAAAAAATTTATGTGATACTTACTTCTCCACAGCCTTGCTGACATTTGGTATTAATATTTGTGTTGATAATTTTGTGAGCAACACATTTGTATTTTCTGATTATTATTGAGTTTGAATCACTTTATTCCTACTTCTACTTATTTTTTCTCCATTTGAACACTTTATGTCCTTTACCCATTATTCTTTTGGGAATATTTTTTCTTAGTGTTTTGTTTGTTTTTGTACTTCTTATAAGACTGTAGCTCAGATATTTTGCCAGAAAGTGTGAAACAGTCCATGTTGTCTTTGATTTCACTGGGATGTGACAAGCTTTCTGAATTTCATACCGAAGTGCTTTACTTGAATAAATGTCGCTGTATTATAGCTCTGTTACTTAGAATGTAATACATTCTTATACAGCCAATCTTCATTACTCATACACTATGTATTTGTGAATTTTCTTACTTGATAAAATTTACTCGTAATCCCCAAATAATACTTGCAATGCTTTCATGGTCATTTGCAGACGTGCACATGTGCTTACCAGGGAAAACTTCCAGTTTTTTTTCAGTATATTTAGTGCCACATTTTTTTTTTAATTTTTGTGCTTTTCCTTGGTAATTTCTCCATTTAAAATGGTTTCCAAACATTATACTCAAGTATGTCTGGTGTTCCCAAGTGCAGGAAGACTGCAAGATGATTAATGGAGGAATTGTGCATCTTAGAGAAAATTTTTTCTTTTTCCAGACATGAGTTGTAATGCTGTTGGCTGTGAGCTCAATGTTAATAAAAATTATATAGTGAATAAAATGTCTTTAAACAAAGACACACATAAAACAAAATTATGTACTGATGGGTTGGTGAAGACGTTGTGACCAGAGGTTCACAGGGCAGAAACCTAACCATGTGTTTTACTGAGGAGTACTGGTTTATTATTCAGTGGTTCATAGCCACTTTAAAGAATATAAGTACCACAAATAATAAGAATCGACTGTATATTCTTTAGGGGCATTGGTATTTTGGATCACTGAGCATTCCTATATTTCTACCATTTTCTCATGTTTTTTAACCTTTTGATCTTTCAGCTTTTTCTGAGAGTATTGCAAATTTGATGCCACACCAGTGATTTATTATTATCCTCCAATGAGAATGATCAGCCTTCTGTTTTATTGTTGTTCTTATGAGTTTCATCTATCCATATCTCTCCGTGTATTAGTGTAAAGAACCAGGGCAAGTCTTACCAGAGCTTACTAAAGAAATACCATTATGAACTGAATGTTTGTAGATTATTTTGGTTTTCATTTTAATTCTTCACTGCATCACGAGGCACAGTATACCAAAATGATATATAGAAATGAAAATATTCTCTTCATTCAATTTCTCCAATGTAAACAGTGCTACTGAAGAGTATTTCAATCAGCAAGATAAAGTGTAATTTTCCCCTAAAATAGAGTTATTTATATATACTCCATTATGGTCCTGCCCTTAGAAACTGAAGATCAATCAGTACCCTTAAAATTAATTAATCAACAGCAAGATTACTCTTTGAGTATGGAATAAAGTGGGAGTAAGGGGCCGGGGAAGGCATCCATGATTTTCTTTTATCAAAAGAAACTCACCTTTATTGATTATTAATAGGCATTTAAATATATTATCTTAATGATTACAAACCCCAAAGGTTATAGGCATTTAGATAGTCAGTGTAAGAGCTGGTCTTTGAAGGCAACAAAAGCTTATATTTGGATCTGGACTCTGGTACTCATAAAAATAATAATTGGGTCTGGTTTATAAGGTTATTGTGATCATTACATGAATTCATCCATGTAAAACATCTAAAGGAGCTTCTGACACATAGGAAAAAATAAGTATTACTTTTATAACTATAACCTTGATTCAGGTGAAGCAAATAAAGCCCAGAAAGGTGGAGTAGCTCATTCAAGGTCTTACAGCAAGTACATGGAAGCACCAAGACAGATCAAGTTTGTCTGTTTTTAGATTCTTCATTTTTCCTGTACCATTTACTATTTCTCAAGACAGTAAATATTGTAAACCTATATTTGTATTATAACTGCATGCACTGCAGGATTTCAGGAAGGCAAGCATCAATGTCTTCAAAGTGATTACTTCTCAATCATGATAAAATTAAGTGATCATGCATTTAAAAGGATTACTGGTATTATGTACATGTTTACATACTTTCTCTGAAATGATGGGCTTCTGCTAATTTCCTCCTTCATTTTTGTGCCTGTCACCTGTTTACCCTACTGTGTAGCCTGGATCTGCTATTAGTGCTGGCAGTTGAGATCTCTTTGACATTTTCAGCTCGAGGGTTGGACTGAGGCATTTTCTCAGGAGGTAGAGTTTGCTGTGCCACAACCCTGTGCTCCTTGGTGTGAGTAATTAATGAAATCCATTTTGAAATCAGCTGTTCGCCAAACAGAGAAACTTCCTGTATGTCCCACGTTACGGGTAGTACAAAAGACATCTAGTTGTTGCGGAGGTATTAGAAAATGCTTCCCAAATCCTAAAGGCCATCTTCGTGGCCAATGTAGCGTTCTCCCCAGCCTTCTGACTTAATGAGCAGGGCTATAGAATAGCCAAAAGACTACAGGCTGTGAATACCATAGTTCTGGCTACTTAATACATTTGAGACCTGAGGAAAATTACTTAATCTCTGATTAGTGAGTTTGTCATCTTGAAAATAGCCTAATGATGACTATGATTTAGAAAAGTTGCACAGACTTACTGGGATAACACATAAAAGCACTCACCTATGGATTTGTATTTTAAAGATACTCTATTTATCCTCTCATTATGATTCCCACAGTCACATGTATGCAGAGCATGTTTTCAAGACCTCTTTCTCAGAAGGTCTAATGAAACTGCAGTCTTTTTGAAGATTCAATGACAAAAAAAACAAAAACAAAACAAAAAAAAAACAAAAACAGGATCCAGGAAAGAACTAGCAGAAGGTATCACTTCAGACTAACAGATTCTTAGGTAAAATGATGAGCTGAGAAATTTTTCCTGAATGCAACGATTGATTGCTGACTCTGATTTCCAAATTTAGGGAAGTTCTTGTTCTGGGAGCATAATTATAATGGACAAAGTATGTAGATATGCTGTTTCTATGATCATGTAAATTTCACACAAAGATGACTTGGACCATATGTAAATAAAAATAACACATCAATAATCAATATAGTCACCTTAGTGGAAAAAAGAATTTTTTTAGCATCATGTAAACACATGATGCTAAAAATTTGGGAAACAATACTATTCCAATAATATCTCCCAAAGAATAATATTATTGGGGAAACAATAATTCTTATATAGAATTAGAGGTTGAGTACCTCTAATCTGAAAATTCAAAATTCGAAATGGTCTAAAATCTGAAAGTTTGTGAGCACTGACATTATGTCACAAGTGGCAAGTTTCACACCTGACCTGACGTGATGGGTCGTAGTCAAAACACAGGTGCATATCACACAATTGATTCAGCATTCTTAAGGGAAAAAAGGCCCTCTCAGTCCCCTTCAGCTATGATATATTTTTTCTGTGCATGCCCAGATTCCCCCATGCAAACATGCCCCAGAAGTGTAATAAAATGGTATGTGTGCAGGCTGGACATGCCAATGGTAGGTTCACAATGATGATCCACATGGGGCCAAGGCCTATGCACATTACTCATTGTGGGTTTTTGTTTTTTTTTTTTGCTTATTCTCTTCTTTGTGGTGTAAAAACATTTTTGAAAATGTCTACAAATATCCATATGGGTCATGATGATAAGAGGAAGCATTTATGATGATGTATAGTACAGAAAGTCAAGCTGTAGGAGAAATCAGACAGTGGTATAAGTGTAAAACACCTCATAGGAGAGTATGGTGTTGGAATGACCACTCTGTATGACTTGAGGAAACAGAAGTACACAGTTTTATAGTTTTATGCTGAAAGTGATTTAGAGAAATCAATGAAAAATAGAGCAACATTGCATAAAGCCAAAAACAAAGATCTCCATTGTGTGTCAAGAGTAGATCCATCAGCATTGCAGTGAATACATGGCACTTAATTGTATACTGATCATGAAACAAGCAAAGATCTATAACAAGGAACTCAAGATTGAAGGGAACCGTGAGTATTCAGCAAACTGACTGCAGAAATTTAAAGAAAAGACATGATATTCTATTTTTTAAGACTTGTGGTGATAAAGCATGTACTAATTATGAAACGGTAGAAAACCTCATGGATGAGTTTGCCACTGATGAAAATATGGTGCCAGAGCAAGTTTATAATGCAATGAAGCATCACTGTTTTGGTGTTATTGCCACAGAAAGCCACCGACTACAGCTGATGAGACATCCCCTACAGGAATTAAGGATGCCAAGGACAGCTTTACTGCTGAGATGTGCTAATGCAGCAGGCAGGCATGCCTAAGTGTAAATTGCTGTGATGGGCAAAAGCTTGCATCTTTCCTGTTTCCATGGAGTGAATTTCTACCAGTCCATTATTGTTCTGACAAAAGATATGGATCACCAAGGACATCTTTTATTTTTATTTTTCTTTGAGACAGGGTTTCACTGTGTTGCCTAGGCTGAAGTGCAGTGGTGTGATCACAGCTCACTGGAGCCGCAAACTCTCAGGCTCAAGTAATTTTCCTGCCTCAGCCTCCTGAATGGCTGGTACTATAGGTACATGCTACTATACCTGGATAATTTTTTTTGTAGAGAATGGGGTCTCACTATGTTGCACAGGTTGGTCTTGAACTCCTGTACTCAGGTGATCCTACCACCTTCGCCCTCAAAATGCTGGGATTACAGGTATGAGCCACCAAACTTGGCCGGATATCTTTTCTTACTGTTTTCACAAACATTATGTACTAGCAGCTTGTGCTTACTGCTGGGAAGCTGGACTGGATAATGACTGCTATATTCTGTTATTACTTGACAACTGTTCTCATCCTCTAGCTGATACTCTCATCAAAAATACTTATGTACTTTTCCCCAAATGTGACTTCATTAATTCAGCCATGTGACCAGGGTACTCTCAGATCAATGAACAGTAAATATAGAAGACACTTTCTTGAACAGCATACTAACAACAGGGAACAGAGGCACGGGCATAAAAGGTTTTCAAACAGTTTAGCATGAAAGATGCCATATATGGTGTTGCAACACTTAGAGCACGACTGAAGACATAGTTGTATATGCCTTGGACAACCTCTGATCTGAGACTATGTTTGGTTATGATGAACAATGTGGTAGCTTTGAAGGATTCTGCATTTCAAGTAAGAAAAAAACAATGTCTTACCTTCTTATGTAAGCAAATATACCTTCAGAGTGCATTAGTAATCTGGAAGAAGTGGATACCAAAGAAGTTTTTTTTTTTTTTTTTTTTTTTGAGACGGAGTCTCGCTCTGTCACCCAGGCCGGAGTGCGGTGGCATGATCTTGGCTCACTGCACCTTCTGCCTCCTGGGTTCCTGAGATTCTTCTGCCTCACCCTCTCGAGTAGCTGGGATTACAGGTGCCCGTCACCATGCCTGGCTACTTTTTTGTATTTCTAGTAGAGACAGGGTTTCACCACCTTCGCCAGGCTAGTCTTGAACTCCTGACCTCGTGATCCACCTGCCTCAGCCTCCCAAAATGCTGGGATTACACCAAAGAAGTTTTTAACCTCGACAATGAGGCTCCAGTTGTTTGTTCATTGGTTGGTGGTAAAATAGCCTAAATGGTTCTGAATCAAGGTGATTGTGATAATAGCGATGATGAAGATGACATCGTTTACACTGCAGAAAATGTGCCTATAGACAACGTGGTGAAAAAGTGTCATGGGCTTAGTGAAGGGCTAGAGCAGCAAGCATTCAAAACAGAACAAGAAATCATGTCAGTTTATAAAGTCAGAGATGTCTAAGACAAAAACCATTGTTAATAAGACCAGTGACTCTGCAGGAAAAATTTAAAACGCCACCCAGCAGAATGCTTCCTCATTCCTAAACTGCTTCTGATGTTTCTTCTCACCTAAAACCAAAATTCGGTGTACGGTAACCTTTTTACTAAAACCCAGCGTTGTAGGTGGAGACTGAAAGTCTGCCATTGCCTGTTGTCGCTGTTGTCTAACAGCTGATGCAGGTACTCTGGGGATGACACTATGCTGGTTAGTCACCCTGAACACATTTTTATTTCCTGTATTAATGGTATGTTTTATATATATATATATATATATATATATATATATATATATATATATTTATTTATTTATTTATTTATTTATATTTTTATTATGTTTTGAGACAGAGTCTCGCTCTGTCACCCAGGCTGGAGTGCAATGGCGTAATCTCGGCTCACTGCAACCTCTGCCTCCTGGGTTCAAGCGATTCTCCTGCCTCAGCCTCCTGAGTAGCTGGGACTACAGGCACATGCCACCACACTTGGCTAACTTTTTGTATTTTTAATAGACACGGGGTTTCACCATGTTGGCCAGGCTGGTCTCCATCTCCTGACCTTGTGATCCGCCTGCTTTGGCCTCCCAAAGTGCTGGGATTATAGGCATGAGCCACCGCTCACGGCCTGTATGTCATATTTTTTACTGTTAAGTACTTATATGTGAATAAGTGTAAGAACTTATTGCTTATCAGTAGCATGTAAATTCAGAGTTAGGAAAAATAGTGATGTCAAACAACTACAGATCGTCCACACGGGTGGCTGAGATAGTGACACTTTTGCTTTCTGATGTGCACGAACTGTGTTTCATGCACAAAGGTATTAAAACTGTTGTATAAAATTATTTTCAATTGATGTGTATAAGGTACATATAAAACATAAATTAATTTTGTGTTTAAATTCGGTTCTGTCTTCAAAATATCTCATATATATGCAAATATTCCAAAATCCAAAAAACTCGAAACACTTCCAGTTCCAAGCATTTCATATCAGGGATACTCAACATGTGGCTGGCTTTAGAAATAGGATGTGATCCCCAAAACTAGATAAAGATGAAAACAGGCATCTTTCAAGAGAGTGTCCTTAAATCAGAGATGTAGGAAAGAATCGCCTGTAGAATCTTGAAATACATACTCATCTCTGGCATCCAGCCTCATACGTTCTTATTTGATAAATGTGGTTGAGGCCTCAGTACCTGTATTTCATTTTATAGCAGCTTCATTGCTATAATTCAAGCTACCAAGTGGATTCTAGAATGCACATATGACTCTTGCTTTAGGCCAGCAATATATATGTTGCTTATCCATGTTCAATATCCATTCTTTTCTATCTTGTTCTATGATAGGGGAAATTGATTTCTAGAAGTATTTATTCCTTTGCTCCTTCCCTGTCAAAAGCTTCAGTTCCTAGGTATCCCTTAAACTCTCTAGGATGTGCTAAGGTCTCCCTCCTTCAGGCCCAGGAGTTGTAATGGCTTTTCACTGCTCATGGATCAGGATATGTATATTATTTCTAACCCCAGGGCACTTGGTTTTCTTAAACTCAATCAATACCTTGTGTGATTAGTTTTGTGCGTCACCTTACTGGGAGATCGGGTGTCCAGACATTTGTTCAAAAGTTATTCTGTATGTCTGTGAGGGTATTTCTGGGTGAGATTAACATTTGAATTGGTGGAGTAAACCAGATGAGCCTCCCTAATATGGCTGAACTTCACCCAATCAGCTGAAGGCCTGAATAAAACAAAAAGACTGCATAATAGGAAACTCCTCCTGCCTGACTCCTTGAGCTGCGGCATTAGTGCTTTCTTGACTTCAGACTCATTCTGAAACATTGGTTCTTCCGCCTGGAGCCTGCTGGCTTTGGACTGAAACTTACACATTTGGCTCTCAGGCTTTTGGTCCCAGACGGGAACTGCAAATAGGCTCTCCTGGGCCTCCAGCTTACTGGGTGCAGATCTTGCGACTTCTTAGCCTTCATAATCTCATGAGCCAAGTCATTGTAATAAATCTCATATATGTATATATACATATTATATATTCTATAAAATTACCTTCAGGCTATGTGATTAAAGTGCATATAAAACATACACACACAAACACACACATATATACTATTGGTCTGTTTCTCTAGAGAATATATCCTGTAAATACCTCCTTTATTAACTTCTCTTCAATTATCACATTTGGTGTGTAAAATGTGATGATTAGTTCTTTCAAGACCCTGCCTGATACATACACGCTAGTCCAATGAACAATAACTAATAAGTTACTCTGTAACTTTTGTTTTGACTTTTGACTGTACTTTATAAAAATATTTAATAAACCTATAAGAGTTGATATCATTGATATTACAAAATGATTTGTATTTCTATGCCAAAAAAAAAAAACTGAGGAGTTTTACAGGAATTTTTGGAGCAATTGATTTCCTTCAAGAGGAAAGTAGGACTTTTAAAAATAGAAATTGGCTTCTTTCTCAAAGTGTTTTGCCTTTTTTTTCTAAGTTCTAAATGTAAGGGTAGATTTTGCTTCTTCAACATTTATTTCCATTTGTTTGTTGTCAGCTCTTCTAGTGCACCGGTACATGTGGGTCTTAGTGAAAACAGCTTAATTCCCAGTAGAAAGAATGTCCAATTGTTTTAATTTCCTTTATCACAGCTGTTAAGCAGCTCTTTTATCTTTGCAGTGGATCAACTTTTGTTGCATTTGAAATCCTTCAGAATGAAATTTAGTTCACAAAAAGAATATTGACCTTGGAACACACAGGTACTGACTAAATGTGCAGGGTAGAGTAGGAAGATAGACTGGCCATTCCAGTGAGGGCTGTGGTGACTGGAGTTGTTGATCTCCTTGGAAAAAACCTGGACTGTCATTTGGGATTTTTATTGAATATTCAGCTCAGTGCTCTCCTTGGTTCAACTCTAGTTGGCTTAAATTCTGTCCAGTATGAATCCCCATATTTTTCTTTATTTCTTTTTCAGAAGTGGCAAAGCTAGTTCAAGCAATGAAGGTGAGCACAATTCTCTGAGCTTAAGTGATCAGTGATCTCCATTTGCCATATGGGTTATTGAACAGAGTTATTTTGTCTCTTTGTGTTTATTTTCTCCATCCATAAAAACCTAACTTTTCTACTTCAAAGAAGTCTATGCAAATATAGGCATAGACTCTGGATATTAGAAAAAGTAGGAATTAACCTATTATCTAATATAGGTTAATTCCTATATTCTGAGAGACATAGGTGGACATTAGGGGTCTGTGAACCCCTGGATTTAAATGTGTAAATGTGCGATGTGTAGGGGGAAGAAGTTGGAAAATCCAGAAAAGCAACTTGTTGGTTGGTTTCACATATAGCTCTCTTAGAATCCCGGTCTTCCACATAGGAATCTAGGGATCTCCTGAGGAAAAGAAGAGTAGAATCAGGTCACATACATACACATACACACCCTTGATGAATAAGGTTCAACTGATATTGTCCAACCCATATATGGGGTTCAAGGAGTGATGAGAAATTGGTCAGTCTATTTCCTGTTTAGAAAAAAAGGGCCTCTCTTGATAATTGAGGCACTCCATGCAGGCCCACCTCTGTCAACAGTAATAACCTTATTATGTTCTGTTTCCTTTCTCTCTCAGTCCCTCGGTCACTTCAACCTCTTCTCTTTCTCCAAAGTTCTCATCTCCTTGTTTGTTTTGGCATTTCATCTAGTTCACGATTATTCTCTACTTCTCTTCTGGAGAGGAAAAGGAACCCGGTTTTTGTACACAGAGGAGAATGAAAGGCAAGACACCAGGAATCCTGGCTTCTGGGTGAAATACCTAAAGACAATGAGACACTGAGCTCCCTTATCAACCAAATGATTAAATTATAAAAATGTCTGTTTCGTGATTAGCTTGATCTTAGAATATGCCAGCCTCTAGGAAATAATGAGAAAACATAAGAGGAGAAACATTTGTCCAGCTTTGTGCATTATTCTGTTGAAAGTTTTACCTATCTCAAAAGAGTATATGACCTGAAAGGGTTTGAGTATCACTGCTTAAATGGAAAATTTTCATGTTACAGATAAGAAAACAGGTATTCAGAAAAATGCAGAGAATTGCCCAAACTCACACAGGGAAAGGCAGAAAGGTGGAGCAGAGATATAATCCACATTCTCAGACTGTTTGTCATTCCAGTGTTCTTTCTAAAATACACTGAAAACTCTAATATCACGTGTAAAAGAAGGATGAAAAACAACTTCCTGAGGAAGATGATTTCTTTAAGAACCAGTCCTTAAGAACACTTTCTCAAGGATTCTAGTTAAGGTTCTGGTTAACAGAGGACATAGTACTTTTTCTAATAAGACCTAAGTGAGAACCCTACCTCCTTTCCCCAGTTAGGGAATACAATTTTGGAACTAGTTAGCTTTTTAGGGAAGACAGCTATAAGTAATAGTAACAAATGAGCAGCATCCCAATATTTAACCCATAATGGGAACTCAAGAGTGTCATCTTTTGTCTTGAGAGCAAGGACCAAACAATGCTTTGTAAGTGGGAGGGAGAGAGGAAAAGAAGAGAATTTCACTTTCTTTTTCTGGCTTTAATTCCAACAGACACAAACTGATAAAATGTTCATTTGTTTTCCACTCATGACCCATAGTTCTCTGTTTTTAATGGACACATATTATAATTCACACACATAATCATAATTACAGACCTATATAGAAGCAAATTTGAAGATACTACCACTGTTAAAGCACCTCAATTATATCTCTTAACTCACTCTTAACTCTGATAAATCAGGCATCTGTAATGCTTCCCAAAGTTAGCTAGTGTCCCTGTAACTACTTTTAGTGTTACTCCATTTTACAACAAAGCACTCTTTTTTCTTAGATCATAGCTTTCATTGGAACTACTTTTTGATTGCATAAGAGTCCCTAAGCTAAAAAAAGTTTACTTCCTTGTTACTTTCTGTGAACCAGTTGACTAAGACATATTTGAAGCTTCCCAAACTACTACTGTGTTAGTGCCTAAGGCACATGTGTGCAGAGTGATTAGATATACTTCACCCATGCATGTGTCTGAGTGTAGCTGAGTCATACTCAAGTGGTACAGGCTGGTCCTACTAAGCAAACTTACTCTGGCTAGAACTGAATGGTTCTCATACACCACTGGAGCAATGTCCAAGATTTCTCTAATTCTTCCAGCTGCCTCCAGAAATTACATGCCAACCACAATGCAGTACAATTATGCAGATCACAGAGGGCCATCAGAATGTGAACTGGGTATCATTCACAGAATGACTGAAATAAGATGGTTTCTTAAATGCCTCATATGCCCCTACTTCTTCCTCTTTACATATAGACACCTTTTTCAGGAGTCTAATAAGGATAAAAAGGCTTAGGCCATGACCTAATGCTTTGGTAGGAAGATCCAGGGCTGGGATGATACCACTGGTGCTCAAGGCATTGCTGGTTGACACCTCGTGATCCAGGATGACTTCTTGATTTCTCAGGACCTCTATGAATTTTATTTTAGTGTTCATTCTAGAGATAATATAAACCCCTAATTTATCACTGTATACCTTGAATTAATATATCATTTCACTTATGAAGTAAGAGTCTTACAGCAATGTTTCAATTTACACTTCTATTTCTTGTGCTGTCATATATTTTATTGCTATAAATTATAAACCCTATGTAATGTTATTATTTTTGCCTTCCAAGAGCCAACTGACTTTTAAAGAATTTTTTTAAAAAGAAAACTAGTTCTTTATTTTTTCTTACATACTGATCATTTCCATTGTTCTTTATTCCTTCCTATAGATTTATATTTCTATGTTATATTTTATTTTACCTTGCTCTGAAGAACTTTCTTTAGCATTTTTTTTGTAATGTGGTTTGTGGAGAACAAAGTCTCTAAGCTTTTATCTAGGAATGACTTTATGTTGTCTTCATTGTTGAAGTATTTTTCCCCTGGATATAGAATTCTAGGTTGACAGTTCTTTTTTCTCAGCACTTTAATGTTCTCTTGTTTTGTGGCCTCCATAGTTTCTGGGTAGAAGTTAGCTTTATTACTGTTACTACTTCTCCAAATGTCATGCGCCCCTTTCCCTTGTATTTTTTTTAAGATTTTTCTTTTCTTTTTGTTTTTTCGCAGTTTGAATATGATGTGCCTATGTGTGGTTTTCTTTGTATTTAAACTGCTTAGGCTTCCTGGATTAGCGGTGTGCTGTTTTTTGAACATTTTTGGAAAAAAAAATCAGGCAAAATTTTTTGAAGTACTTTTTATGACCTATTACCTTTGCCCTCTCTTTCTGGGATTACAATTACACATGTGTTAAACAACTTAACAATCACCTGCTTGTCATTGAATGCTTTAATTCTTAGCATTTTAAAATTATTTATTGTTTAATGTGCTTCAATTTGAAAATTTTCTATTGACTTGTCTTCAAGTTCACTGGTATTTTCTCCTTTTGTGTCCAGTCTGCTTAAAATACCGTCCAACAAATATTTCAGTTGCTACACCATCATTCTCAGCAAACTAACACAAGAACAGAAAACCAAATGCCACATGTTCTCACTCATAAGTGGGAGTTGAACAATGAAAACAAATGGACACAGGGAGGGGAACATCACACACCGGAGCCTATCGGCGGGTGGGGGGGTAGGGGAGGGATAGCATTAGGAGAAATACCTAATGTAAATGACAGGTTGATGGATGCAGCAAACCACCATGGCACATGTATGCCTATGTAACAAACCTGCATGTTCTGCACATGTATCCAAGAACTTAAAGTAAAATAAAATAATAATTTTAGAATTTTCATTTTGTTCTTATTTAGTTTCAATACATGGAATATATTTAGAGTATATGAAGTTCTATATTGTCCTGAAATTTCCCATTTTTTTGTCCAATCTTTTTCTATAGCTTCTATAACATATTTATCACTGTTACTTTAAAGTCCTTATTTCTTAACTTGATCTGGAGCATTGGGGGACATTTGTAGTTTTATTCCTATTAACTCTTTTTTCTTTTTATCATAGGTCATGTTTTTGCAAATCTAAAGATACTTTATCTGAATATTATAGATTATGTGTTTTAGAGACTTTGGATCCTGTTATAATTCCCTGAGGGGCAGTCAATCTTGTCTTGGGCTCCTTGGAGTCTCATCCCATGCATATGTTGTTCAGGGTCCACAAAGAATTTGTGGGAAGTTTGCATGCAGATTTTGTAGGTCCTCCTCTGTGACTCCTTTCTTTCTTAAACTTTCTTAAACTCCATTCACTTAGCTACGCTGGCAGGCTCCAATTCCATCATCTGACTTCTGAGACCAGTAATGCTATCTATGATTTTCTGTTTGGTTCTCTACTTTAACTGCACTGTAGACAAGGAAATGCCCTCAGCAGAGTCAGGAGGAGGGTAAGAAAGGCAGGAGATAGCTAGGTTGTAAGGTATGAGGAGGCATTCTTTCTCAGGGTCATGAAGAGCAGGGTCAGGACTTGACAGCATGTGCCTCCTTACATGTTACACCCCAGGTGTCTCTCTTTCTTAGTTTATTCTCAGCCCTGTCTGACCTTCAGAGAAAAAAAAAAAACTATATAAACTGGAAAAGAGAAAATAAAACTACTATTACTACAAAAGAAGACAAGAAGAGAGCAAGAAAGAAACTAAAGAAACATCTCCCTTCCCTAATAAAAACCTACTTTAAAAACATCATTATATATCCATGTATCTATACAGCGCGCTCGCTCTCGCTCGTTCGCTCTCGCTGGCTCTCGCTCTCGCTGGCTCTCGCTGGCTCTCGCTGGCTCTCTCGCTCTCTCTCCCGCTCTCTCTCCAAAGAGAAAGAGAGCTGAGGGAGACTATGAATTAGAGATGTCAGTGGGTTTGGGACAAAATAAAGCAGTTGGATAAGTGGGACCTGTTTTGCATTTTGGAGAAAGCTGAAATGCATTGGAGGGCCTGTGGAGGAAATGAAAACTAGAAGCAAGGCTATTTGAATCATAGAACCCTGAAAAAGCTGGGCAGGAAGAAGCGAGAGACACCACTAAAATCAGGGGGTTGAAGTCTGCGTAATAATTAGTTAAACCTTAGCATCCCTCCTGCTTTCCCAAATAACTAGATTCTCACTTTCCTAAATACTTCAGAAGACACAGGATGTTATTCATATGAAGAGGTGAGGATGCCCTGTCTTTGGCCAGAGGTTAAGCGTTGTATAACAAGTAGGAGGATTGAAAGAACATACATCTCTAGTGGGGATGTTCTTGGCCCTCTTTTAATACTCTTCATCCAGCATGCTGGCAGTCAGCCTTACATATCTCTTGGCAAGGAACTGGAAGATGCTTCCCTGGAGAAGCTGGTCCAAGAGAAACGCCTACAGATACTAACATTTGAAAATACTCCAATGAGATGGTCAGGACCTGGCCAGATTTACAACAACAATCTGAGACCTAAACCCACTTATCTCAGAAACTAATAAACCAAATAGGAAAAAAAAAAAAAAAAAAAAGACTTGTATTAGAAACAAGTGAGATACATAACATCTTGTGTTTAATAAACTGAGAATAAGCAAACAATGTACTGTTAATAAAATTTGACTATGTTAGGCCCCAAAGAAAAATAATCTCCATAAATTTCCATAAAGAAGAATTTTTATAGACAACATTTAGCTATAAAACAGGAAATTATAAATCACGAATAAAAACTTCTTGATTGCAAGCAACAGAACTTACTATGACTCTTTTAAGCAGTAGAGAAGTGTATTGGAAGGATAGCAGGGAGCTTGCAGAATCAACTATAGGCTGGAGAACCAGGCCAGATGCAACAGAGTCCAGATCAGACATCAGGAAAGATGATCAAGGTCTAGTTCGTGTGTCACATTGTGCATTGCTATTATTAGACACTTGCCACTACTGTAGTCTTGCTGCAGCCCTCACCTCTGGACTCTCCACATCATTGCCCTTACCACTGTAAACACTTCAACTGTCCCTACACTTTGTTCCTCCTTCAGTATTCAAAATCTAGGACAAGAACATTGAATTGGCTAAGTCTATGTCATGAACATTCCATAACTATCCTGAGGTGAGCAGAAACGACAAGGCCAGTCCACTGGGACCCACACAACACATGCTAACCTGAAAATTAAAGGGGCGGCTGGATGCTAGGTAGCACAAAACAATAAGCAGGCACTTTTAAAAATAACAAAATAAAAATAAATGCCCTCTACTATTAATGTGAATTTAAAAATTAAATAATTCAATGGATAAATAAATGTTGATTATTTGGGAAAAATGAAAATGTGAGCAGAACATCAAAACTGATGAGGAAATACAGCCCTGTGTCACTTAATGAGGGGATACATTCTGATAAATGTGGCATTAGGCAATGTTATTGTGCCATCATCATAGACACAAACCTAGATGGTGTAGCCTACTGCACACCTAGGCCACAATACCGTACAGCATGTTACTGTACTGAACACTGTAGGCAATTATAACAGAAGGTAAGTATTTGTGTATCAAGCAACATCTAAATATAAAAAATGTACAGTAAAAACATGACATTTTAATGTTATTGGGACCATGGTTTTATATGTGGTCTGTCATTGAAACATCTTTGTTTGGTGCAGTTTTTAACAAAATACATATATTAGGAAAAGAAATGGAAGATAAAGCATATCACTTCACAAGCCAAAAAAAAAAAAAAAAAAAAAAACCAAAAAACCCACTATCTCAGGAAGAGACAGAAAAACCTGAAGATATTAAGAAACAAGGGAAAACAGAAAACATAATTATAGATTCATCACCTTAAGAAGGCAACCAATCCCAAATTATTGGAAAGAAGAGTCCTTTCAAATCTTTTAGGGACAGAGAATTCTATTGACACTATTCAAATGGAAAAGGAAGTTCCCTAAATCATTCTATGTGGCTACATAACTCTCATGAAAATAACTGGATGAGAATAGCATAAAGAAAAAATAGATCAATTTCACTGTGAGTATCAATGCAAAAAATATGAGTATGCTATTTTCAAATTAAATGCAATAATGGATTAACAGAATAACCACATTCCAAGCTTGGTTTATCCCAGGATTGCAAGAATGATTCAACAATTGGAATCTATTACTTGAAATTAACATATTAATTGAAAAAACAAATACATTATATTATCTTCTCATAGACGCCACAAGGGTTTTGATAGCATTTAACATTCATTTCTGATATTAAAAAACCTCATCAAGTTAAAAATAGAAAACAGCCCTTCAGGCTGATAAAACTCTGTATCACAAAATTACAGTACACATCCTAACAATTACCGAGACACTAAACATCCCTTAGAAAGTCAGTGTGGCAGACAATATTAGTTGTCTACCCATTATTCATTACCCATTTTTTTTGCTAGCAAAACATCAATGTCCTTTCTAGGGGTCAAGGTCTAGTTGAATACTCATTTTCTGAGCCTCTGTCGCTGTTAGGGCTGATCATATAATCAAGTTCTGTTTGCTTAATTGTTGGTGGAAGTCTCCTGTGCATTCTGAGAATGTATCTTTCACTTTCTTGATAAAAGGTGGTACCAGACAGTCCCTACTTGTCTTTCATCTTTTTGCCTTGATTATGAGAAAGAGCCATTTTGCAACCAAAAAGTAAGGAGCCTAAAGGAAAAAAAAAAACAACATAGTAACAGTGATGCAGAGAAAAATATAAACAGCTTGACTCAGTTTTGGCAGTTTTATTAAGCAGTTGTATCGTAACCAGCAACTTACGGACTCCTAATTATAAAAGAAGAGACCAGAGAGGGAAGGGAAATTTTAGTTCAGTTACTCATAGCTGAAACATTTCTAACAGAAACACCCAAAAATAAGACAAGAATGCTTGCCATACTCAATACTATTTAGTGGTGTATATTACAGCCAATATAGCAAGAAGACAATCATTGAATAAAAGCTACAGGGATTGGCAAAGAGGTCAATTTTCACCTTTAATAAACCAATATATCTTGCTAGAAAATTCAAGAAAAATTTAAAGCCACAATAATAAAAGAATAGTAAAGTGGATTTTTACAATATCAACATAAAATGATCAGTAGCTTTCCTAATCAATATTTGCAGTAAGCAAATATAATAAACAGTCCCATTCACAGTAGTAACAAAATTATAAAATAACTAATAGGAAGGGTACAAGATCTGTTTGAAGACAACCATGAAACTGTACTAATGACTAAAGACAGATATACTATGTTCCTGGAAAGAATGATTCGGTATCTTAAAGATGCCAATTGTTTAAAAAACTATTTTTAAAACCCAGTGGAACACAAAGTTAAAATTCCTAAAATGGTGTTTTATAAAACTTGGTGAGAAGTCTTTAAAGTTCCAGAAAAAGATGAATTGGACAAAACAAGCAAGAATATTTGAAAACAACATTGAAATATGAATTAACATACCCTACCATATATCAGCATACTATAAAACCACAGTAATTAAAGCAATATGGTTTTGTCACAGTAATAAATCAATCAGTTCGATAGAACTGAATAGTCAGTAAAGAGACCCATGTTTATGATAAAGTTGTGCATGTGGGTGTGTATACATGTGTGTATGCTAGCTTCTATGTCTACAGTTAAAGACAACATGACACTTTGGAAATTTTATTATTAAGGAAACATTCAAGTGGTTATGTAAAAGTAAGCCACCCATTGCCCTGGTGGAGGGGTATGCAAGAGTGCTAGTGAGAATATTGTTAAGTTCAAATATGGGAGAAAGGCCAGACCTCTGACCTCTTCATTTTTGTGGTTCTGTATTGTTCTGATTTCTCTGGTGACTTGAGATTGTCTCATTCAGATCTATTGGAATCAGAAGACACCAAGAACCTCAGAAGGTGGTCATTGGGAAGGAGATTGCTTGTGAGTGGTGTATCAGGTGCGGGAGGTCCTTTGAATTGCTGACCACAGCTCTGTAGCAGAGCTTGGATCCCCAGAAAGAATGGGAACTCTTTCATGCACCAACTGTGGCTGAGACTGGGAGCTCTAATGGCCCTAACACTCTGGCAAACTCCTATGATTTGGGCATGAGATCTGAGCATATGAGTGTGCACTAACAGATCTGTACTGTTGGAGGGCAAAGCAGTCACTACTGCAGACTTTGGGACTCTGTACCAGCCCAGGCATAAATACGGAAGTGAACAAATGACCATCAGATTGTATAGAGATCAATGTTTAAGAGCAACGCTCTGTGGCAGAGACAAAAGTGCTGATGGTGAGGAACTGGTCAGATGTTGCAATGCTCTCTGCCTGGTATTTGGAAGCAGGCTTGAGAAAGACCCCATGCTCTTACAATTTAATGCTAGGGAGGTGGGAGGCATCACGAAGATACTAGGTTTTCTACTGGTAAGATATTTAAGGCTTGATGATTGGAAAAACAGATACGACTTTGTATGTTTCCCTAATTGATAAACTCACAAAGGTGCAAAAAATTATAGATAAAATTAGATGTAATCTATATGTTCCCATTAAAATTGCAAATGGAATCATAGTATGAATGCATTGTTATGAACTTAACTGTTTGCATTCCGTATGTATCTTAGACATTTTCCTATATTAGTATATGTAGATATAATCCATTCTTTTAAAGTATTTTCTGAGATCTTATTGTAGGGATGTATAAAAATGTATCTATTTTGCCCACTATTCATGAACATAGGGACCCTTTTACCCTAAAAAAATGCAGCAACGAATATCTTTGCATCATTGTATAATTTTATTCATAGGTTGAATTCCTGGAAATAAAATGGCTATATCAAAGTGTATGTACAAAAAATTTTAAAGCCACTGCCAAATTGCACTCTAAAAATTTGTTTTAGTTTGTAGTAGCCAAAATAATGTTTAAGTGGGCCTGTTTCCGTATTGGCAAACATTGGATATTCTCAAACACTTAAATCTTTGCCAATCTGATATATGCAAAATTGTATCTCTTTATCACTTTGTTTTGAATTTCTTAAAACATAGGCTGAGGATATTTTCAAATTTGTTGGCCATTTGTATTTCTTCATACATGGGTTGCCAGCAGTGTTATTTACACATACTTTTATTGAGCTAGTATTATCATTTCTAATTTTTAAGAATTTATTTTACTAATGCATTCTTTCCTAGATTTTATTTTTAACTTTCTTCTGTCATTCTGTTTTATGTTTCCTTTGGAAATAGCAAAGAGCTATGTTTTAACCTAAATACAATTCTTTATTTTTACTAAGTAAATTGTATTTATGTTAATGATGACTTCTGTTTGATCCCTTTGTGGGGGGATATTATTTTATTTCACTTGATTTTATTTAAATTATGCATATCACATTTTAAATTTTATCTCCCAGCCCCCCTTTCCTTAATTAAATTAATTTTCTTTGTTTCTTCTTTGTTCCTTAAGTGGTTTGGAAAGTATACATCTCCTGTATATTCAGGTAATAGTTATTCTTAAATATTTAACAGACATGTTTGAATTATCTATCAAAATGAAGAATTACAGCATTAATAGCCTTCTCTTTTTGAACAACAGAACTTTAGATTTTAGCCTGTTTTAACTTCCTACATTGCTAGTCTCACCCTTTTCTCAGTGCACCGCTCAGGTTTTGCTGAAATAATTGAAAATTTTAGCTTCAGGTTGCTTTTATCATTATTATAACTGTATTTTATATTTCTCACTTCAAATTTTTAAAAAAGCAGTTAATTTCACAGACATTATGAGCAATTGTTTAGATGCACTCTCAGTCTTACTTGTTCATAACTTACCACTATTTCTCCTCCATCACGTCTTCTCTCTTCTTGAGGTATTTATTTCTCAGATTCAGTTTTGCTTATTTAATAAATTTTTCAAGGTCTTTACACAGAAATATATTTAGAGTGTACTGTTTTACTTCTTGTGTATCTAAGAATATCTTTATTCCTCCTCATATGGCAAAAAGATCAGCCTTTTCTGTTTGTAGCTTTTCAATGTCATTTTCCTTGACCTGAGTCCTGAGGGATGAGTTTGAATTCTAGTGTTCATGTGCCTGGAGAGAGAAGGAGACATTCCAGACAGAGGGAAGAACATTTGGAGAAATTTTAGGAGACTAATGGCTTTTAGATTTATCCTTGAATATGAAGGAAGAAGGAAAGGAACATATTGAAGGTAAAAATGTAGTTAAGGAGGAAAAAAAAAGAACCAAAAGTATAATATTTTATGACATCGTTTTATAGTTGAAATTGGTAGAAGTGGTGAGATCATATAAGAAGCCAAAATTACATAAGTAAAAAGCCAAGATCAAAGAGAAGAATAAGAAGTCCAGAAATGAAAAAGAGAGTGAGAAAACTGTAGACTTACAAAGATATATAGAGAAATAGGAAGGGAGAGAGGCAAAGGGAGGGAGGGAGGGCAAAAGAGAATCGAATTTGGCTGGCAAGATGTAATTGGTAACTCAAAGAAGACAGTGAACATGAAAGCTACGGAGTACTCATTTGAGAAGCTTAGTTTAAAGGAAGGAAAGGTTGAGACTGGTGGTTGGAAAAAAAATCTTCTTGAAGAAATGGTGAAACAGCTGTGCATCCTGTTTCCCAGAAAGTGTAGAAGATAAATCTGGACATTTGAGGAGATCTGATATTGGGCTCTATCTACTTTTCCAAATCTTTCCTCCCTCTCTTAATGTGTACTTAAAATATTTTAAATAAAAAAAAATTCTGATGATTTCCCATGAATACCAGGAAGAAATATAGATCCTACTACATGGGAAATATTTCTGGCTGAGGCACTAATTCCAGTCATGTGACAGCACCGACTCAGAGGAAGACTGCTCCAACAGGCCTCCTTTGCCTGTCTCCACTGACCACACATATTCATTTCCAGAGTTAAATAATTTCCGAAAATGCAAGGTTCTTCCCAGTAAATTTCCTGTGACATTCTTTGTGTGACCTCAGTTTACCCCCAAGCGAGAAATGTGAAAGTAAGAATGCCACAGAGACTGGGTTTAGCACAGCTCTGATTATCTGTCCTTGGTAGTGGAAAATATTTTCTCTCGATTTGGATGTTTGGATCTGGCCCCATGGGCTTTCTCTTCGATGAAGCAAGGACATCAGGCTTATTACAGCTGGGGTCTCCCCAGCTGCTGGCTTAGCTTATCTTAAATTGCTCAGGGATAGAGTAAATGTCACTGAGATGGCAAAAGTCAATGGGGCCATCAAGTAACAGTATGAGTATTATATTCCGTTTTATGTATCAGGCATTACAAAACTACTAAGCAATCTTTGTAATTTTTTCCCTCTGTTTGCAAAGGAAAATCAAGTGAAGGTAATGAGTACATATTGATTCTATGAGATAGGTATTTTAATTTTGAGAGCTCCTCTATGAGGGAGAGAGTTTGATACAACCTTGTCTTGCCCCTGCCCCCTGATTTCTGGGCAGGGAAGAGCCTGTCACTGAGCAAACACAGAGGTGATTTTGAGAACATTTTCTGTTCTGTCCCGGGGTACCATTTCTCATTGGGTAGGTTTCCCTCCATCTCCCCAACACCACCACTTTTTAAAGCAGTATAAATGCAAATGAATTGAGTGATTTACAGCTGCCCTCACTCATAGCAGCTGGAGAAAATTGCTTTTGTACAGAGCTGGTTCTCAGCACTCTTAGATATTTTCTGATTTTTCCACAAGCAAGCTGTGCTGACCAGGGAGAAGGGCCGGGCATAATCCTTCATTAACTTGACAGGAGAAAAGCATTTGACAATGTCACAGTGTCCCAATTCTGGGCAGCATGTGAGAGGTGACCCTGTCTATTTAGAGGGACGATGAAAATGGGAGAAGGTATCTTTTCCCCTGAATAAAAAGCTACAAGGAAAGAAAACGTATTAATTTCTTATTCTGTATCAGGAACTGTGTCAAATGCTTTTATTTGCCATTGGTTATTACTTTGAAACTCTATGAAGTAGGTGATAGTGTTCCCAATTTTTTAGATGAAGGAACATCTATAGGGAGTTTAAGATACTTCCTAAGGCCATGTGGCAACCTTCTTTCACCTATAGCAATTGCCCCATCCTGCAGAACAGGGAAACTAATCAACAGACCGGTTGACTCCTTTGGAGGGAAGAAGGGCTGTACTAATTCAGGTCAGGAAATGACAGTGTTCACTTGTTCCAAAAAAGTTTCAAAAAAAGTTGAAAAAGCTTCTCCCACCTCATAATGTACACAGTATACATCTTCTAGGTCAATGGGCTTCAGACTTTTTATAGAAACACATTTTATGTTGTGACCCCTAACTGCACACATGCAAAATGTCTCTCAAAATTGCCTATTTGATTAGAAAAATGCTGGCTGGTGCTCCACTAAATTGATTTTGTGATCACTTATACAGTGATCTGCCATTCAAACATCACTCCCTAAACCACAAAAATGAACAAGTAAAACATTGAATCCCCACCCTTACCTAATTTTTAAAATTATTTCTCCAACTTTCTCTGATCTCATACAAATTACTCATTTCAAGACCTAATTACTCCATCCACTTTTTTCTTCAGTCTTCTCTGATCATTGAAAGTCTTTGATCACATAGATTGATTTAGTAGAAGTTAAATCCTGGACTTATGTGAAAGGTTAAGTTTAGACTTGGCCTCTCAGAGCCATATAAAACATCTTAATGAAAGGCACAGGCATTTGGTTTAACTTAGCTTTGTGGATTCCTCATGTCAGGACCTTAAACCACATAGCATATACTCTGATCCCTTGCTGGAAGATATCACAGATTTTTGAACTTAAAAATGCCCAATGGATGAGTGTTATGCAATGGTGGGAAGACCTAAAAGTGGAACAGAAACTAGTAACCTGTGTGGCCTGATTGATGGCCTCCAGGAACTCTTTCGGTACAGCCATAGGGTATCCAGCGCTCCTGGGTGCAAAGCTTAGAAGTAATGAATTATACTCTGAGGCTTATTGTGAGGTAGAAGGCTCAAGACTTCGCATCATGTTTCTTTTGTTTTTAATGATTTATGAACAGTCTTTGACATGAGCCTCACCACTCTATTTCGTTTAGAGAGTATAATAATTACAGAAGTGAAATGTAAGATACAAATAGTCCTATATAAATGCTACTATAAATGTGTGGCATTCTTTGCTTAAGTTGGGTCCTAGACCAAGCCACAGAACCAAAGGATTTCAAATGCATGTTGTTGGTGGCTCCAGGGGATACTGGGGTTTCTGGTTTGCAGAAGCCCTGTAGGGGGCCAGGAAACAGAATGAGAAGTACCATATTCCTCAGTGGAATAAGACCTCAGGGTCTTATCATCAGACTCTAGTGCAAATCCTTTTTGCTTTTCTTCATGGAATTCCATCCATCTTATAAGCTCCACAAATAAATGTCTATTCATAAATATATTAAGTACTTGGCTTTTAGAAGCAGAGGAAAGAAAAGGGTATTAATTCTACTAATGTTTACCAGGATAAGGAATGTGAGGTACAAGCTGTGAGGAGCTTTCCCTAGATTTCTGCCTAAAGGAAATGTCCAATAAGCTTATTAATAATTGATTTCTGTTTTTCTGGGGTTTTCAGGATTTCTTGGGCTGCCATCTTCTTGCTCCATCCATGTACTAATAAATCCATTGGTTAATTGTACTTACCTGATATTTATGGATACCAGATACTGGCTAGGTGCTGCTAAGGAAAAATAATTTAATCACAGTCCCTTCCTACATGTAATGCAGAGTCTAGAGGCATGAAAATAATTCCGTAGTTCAAAATAGCATTCAAATGAGTAAAAGTCTATTAGAAAAATATGGGGACAGGAGAATCCCACAAAACCTCCCAGTGACATTGCTGCCTCTGTGGGTACTGATCCTCACAGAACTGTGAAGCAGGTAACATTTATCTGCCTGAATACATTCCAGGATTTTATAGGACAAGAACAGGGCAAGTCCAAGCTGTCGTTGATCTTCCAAGACTGGGACTATAGGAGGGCTGATTAAATGCTATTACTGATAATAATCAGAGAGAATTCAGAGTAAATGGCCCTGTGCTTTCAAATGTAATGCAGATAAAAACTAAATGCTTAAGTGATTTTTTACCATTAACACAGTCATGGCAGGCTATTTCAAAAGCTACTAGTTGTCCTGTTGTAGAAGCCTTTCTCCTAAGACATGGCAAGAGGTAGAATAGATTTTTTAATCCTCCACTTATGTTTCTTTTAACCTGGACCGGAGTAACTTACCCAGGCTTGGATGTCTTCCTCATATTGGTTTCTTACAAACTACAAACCTTATGTAACCAATGATCTGCAAAAGATAGACTTGTTCCTGCAATCTATTTTTCTTTGTTGCCTTGGAAATAGATTAATATCTAAGGGAGGTAAAAACTTTCTTAGAACTGATTTCTCTTTTTTTGAGTCAAGAGAGATAAATAGGATGGAAAACTATAATGCCATATGTAGAGGCATTCAAGTTCAAGAATTCCTTGAACTTTACTTAAAACTTGATTGAATGTGAGCTCTACGTGGAGAGGTGTCTTTGCTTTGTTCACACTGATAACTCAAGCATCTAGAACCGTGCCTTCTACACAGCAGATGCTCGATTATACAAACCCTTGAATCTTCAACAGCCTAGTGTGATCTTCCTCAGGGACATGACAAAATGCGACATGGACTTACAGTGGAAATTAATCATCTAGAGGGAATTTATGAAGCACTTACATGTGCTCATTCTACACCATTAAAAATGTTTGTTGCAAGGAAAGGCATTGAGATTGCTTTTGGGTAAAATAGGAAATAGGAATATTTTCACTTCTGAATTCCTTTCTTGTGCTTCCTTATGAAGTAATTGTCCTTTGCTTATCATCCCTTCTCCAACCCATATCCCACCATTTATTCTTGTTCCAGGAAGACATAGCTCAATCACATACTACATCATGCTGTGAAATTATGGTACAAGGATAAAGAATAGAAATGTCTAACTAAGTAGGTCTAAATAAGTACATATTTTTTAGGGCAACGTTTTTCTAACTTTGTTACTACTGACATTTTAGACCAGATAATTCTGAGAGGTCCATCATGTGCATAGAAGAATGTTCAGCAACATCTCTGGCTTTCACCTACTAGATGCTAGTACCACCTGTATTTTGTCCACTTCCTCTTACCCTGTTGTAATAATGAAAAATGTCTCCAGACATTGGTCCTCTGGGGGAGAGGGAGAAAAATATCCTTTTGGTTGAGGACCACTGCTTTAGAGATATGTTTGGTTTCTCCAAGGGTATTTATCATTATCAAGCTGAATATCCTGCTAAAGGAATTTCAGAGAACTGCAGTACATATAATTGAGAGGAATTTGTTAGGAGGTCTTTTGAAATGCCCTTTAAGGTGACTGTTCACTTAATTTACCTTTGTGAATAGCTGTAATACAAAGACTCTTTCACTCTTGGACCTGAGGTTGGGGTTGAGTAAATCAAGCGTCTATGGGTTATCTGAGGACTCTTTTGATTGTATATATGGGACTAGACCTTAACTTCATATCCATCCCGAGTGACCTTACCTCATTTTTAAGCTTGTTGGAACACAACATGTTTCTATTCTTAATGATGACATAATGATGATGTTCAGATTATGATATCACCATGATAATTATAATAATGGAATAATATTGATGAATGCTTTATATGTGCCAGCCACTGTGTTAAGTGCTTGATATGGAAATAATTCACATAATTCTCTCAACAACACTGTGATGAATGATGACAACAATTGTGTTGTATAGCAGATAAAGGAGATTATATGCTAATTGTGATCATTATTAATAGCTGACTGCAGAAAATATGTTCCTGAACAACTGATATGGGTAGAACACACTGGTAAGTAAAAGAAAATGTGTCATATTCTGGCTGTCTTTAGTTTGTTGTGTTATTCATCTTTCTGCCTTGTAATTATTTGTATACAAGTATGTCTGTCTTCACTAGACTCTTAAACCACTTGTGAGGGTCTGACTTATTGCCTTTGCTATCCCCAGTACTTACCACGTAACAAGCACTTCAATGTGTATTGAATATGTAAAGGAATGAATAAGAGAATGGAGGCTGTGCTGTGTTAAAGAGGACAGCACAAGCGAAGGAAGCTCTGCTTGTCACTTCCAGATTACTTGATTCAGCCATCAGGACTCTAAAAATACTCTCTTCCACACCTCTTGTTGTGGGGATAAGAAGGTCTTAAAGGCTTACTATATAATGCTATACTTGTGGGTCAAAATAAAAAAGAGAGTAACATTTTTGGATCACATATTATGTGTGAAGCCCATTCTCAGATGTCATTTTATTCTTACATGGACCTGGATAGGTGGGTATTATTTCTATCATTTTGAAAATTAAACAACTAAGGCTCAAAAATGCTATTAAATTTATTTTCTTTCAGATTGATCACTATCCTTACTGGAGATAGCACTTTACTGAATTCTTTATTTATGATGCAAGATGCACATTGATCTGACCTGTATCCTCCCCCAGAAAACTCTGTCCTAAAAAATGAGTGCACATTCCAATGTGTGAACTGAATTTCATTATTCTCTTTCCCTTTAACTTACTGTGGCATTCTGGTGTCTCATTTTTTTCATTCTTAAATGAACATTGTTCATTTCTGCCATCAGACCGTGTCAGCGACTACTTTGAAATCCTTAAATGAAAGACCCTACATAAACAACAAATATGGTATTCCAGTGACAGTAAGCAATCAAAAGAAAGTAACTTGGGGCTAAAGTGTCAAGTTTAATCCTTTGCATTCTTTTATCTCCAAGCAGAACCAGGGCGAGTGCATCTCTCCCCAAACTTCCCGAGAACCACACACTAAAGAATTGGGAATTCTGTTTAGTTCTACTGAAGAGTTAAGCAAATCACACCAGTACTCCAGCACATGGCTCCAAGGAGTCTAGGTACATCAAACAAGATGTTCAGACCACTGAGCCATGCCCTCCAGCTGTCCTAGGAAAACATTTCTTAGACTAAAAATGAACATCTCGCTTGTCATCATTGGGCATCATGTAGCTTCCAGGAAAGCAAAGGCTGGTACTTCTTTTAATTTGTTTTGCTGTTGTTAAACTTTGTTCATTCTTGTGGTCTACTTTATTTGTGTGTGAGAGAGGCTTAAAAAAATGTATGTTTTCACTTTATCTCTCTTTTGGTATTTATTTTCTTGGGCACAATCTTATTTAAGGACAATGGGGGATTGCCCAATGGTCAGTAGAGTCATGAGACTGCTATCTAATTTTCCAGTAGGAGGATAAGGTTCAGTAACTCTTTCCTTCTGAAAACTGCCAACCTGTGGAAATTTCCAGTCCCAGTTTTTAGGTGTTATCTTTAATTTTGTGCAAAATATCATTTTGGCCCTTTGATGTTCCAGAACACCTCTACCTTCTGCTATTTCACCCTGTGTGTTGATTGAGACTTTACCAGTATAAAGATGTAACAGCTGGAGTACAGTATTAATAAAAAACAGAAAAAACATCTGAATTCGCTTAAGCCTTTGGACATCTGCCTCTTCCCTTGTGTCTAATCTAGTATGCATGCATGAGTTCTGGGTACCAGGTTAGAGAATAAAATGTCCTAGGACATTGGTGTCTAAAATATTTTCCTTCTTCATGGTATCAGAAAAGATGAAATCATTCAAAAAGCATTTTTCCCTCTGTCGACTATCAACTGTGCAATAGGAATTAGGTTAAGTTCTGAACCAGCGCTTTGGTAAAGCAAATGCCCAATCCGATTCATAGCGTTGGTGACATTCCTTCCCCTAACCCTCTTTGATGGCAGTTTTGACAATGGAAACATTAGAAATATGCACTATTGCGTAAAAAGCTTTTTTATCTTGGGACCAAAAGAAATGCTTTTATGGTTATAAATACACTGAAAGAAACCTCAAGAAAACCTGGAGCAAATTAGTCAATTGCTGTCAAAATGACAGAGGCTGGTATACTTGCCTTCTTACTGTCACTCCCTGGCTGCAACCCTCTGAGTTTCTTTCTAATAGCTTTCCTCCACTTAACCTACAGTATTCACTATATTTTTATTTTTGGATATTAGGCATTCTTTACTTTTATCCTTTGACATTGCTAGCTGAATATTTGGACAAAGATAATTTTTGCCCCAAAATGATATAAAGAGGGGAAGTATACCATTGCCATTTAAATCCTAGTCTTCTCTGAAAGTAAAACTGAGTGTCAATAGTATTCTCTTTAAAGACATAAAAAATCCCTGCACATAAAATCTGCTTTGCATCATCTTGAATCTTTGAATATCTGTGGTCTCCTATCAGTTCACAAAATACACACTTGTTCTGGTATTGAAGACCCAGGAAACCACCTTCTGTTTCCAAACTGGGTGACATTGAAATTCTTTCCCCTTGCCTACTCATCTGAAATTAAAGTTTTGGAAGTTACTGGTGGCCTGACAGTGCCCATGTGGGGCAATTAATAATAGAAGACAAATACCTTTAAGGAACGCTTGCTCAAAACAACTTGGTTCCAGCCAAACATTTTGAGGGACAGGAGAAGTCCTGGGGCTGCACATGAGTCCAACAACATATTTTCCTGGTTGCTTGCCCTCTCACATGGCTCAGTCTGCCTTCCACTGTTCTTATATTCTTTCTTTAGACCATACTCAAATGCATGGGCTTTTGGTCAGCATCATGATTCAGAGATGTTCTAAACACCAAAAACCTTAAAAATAATCAAACATATAATGGGTAATAGTACATTTCAATGAAAACATAAAAGTTTAATAAACAAGTTTTCCTGCTGAAACTTGTCTTTCCTTCTTGCTTCCTTTGGCCGTTATCTCCTTCCTTAAACATTTATTGGCTCCACTTTCTCTCTTCTTTTTTATATTGATTCTTACAAGAATCTGAGATATGCCATTATTTTGATATGGATATTTTAGATGAAAAAACTGTTCTTGTTGGGGGCTTGTGACTTTTGCATCTTGTCATTGATTGACATTAAGATTTATTAGGGCTTTAGCAACAAGCTTACCCTTTAGGTTTCTTTATTAATACTAAGAAGGTCTTAACTATAATCTTATCTGGGGTATTATGCTATGTAAAGCCCAGAACACAGAGCAATTTAATAGGACCCATTGCCGCAATATGAGCATAATTACGTTCACAGAGGCACTTCAACATGACCTAGTAGGGATAGAAGTTGGATTGAGAATTATAGCCCAACTCTTCTTGCTCTTAGTTACTCATTCAAGAAGTATTTATTGAAAAGATAGCCCTATGTGGCCATATCTTAGAGCAAGTCCTTATGTACACATAAGAATCACGTAGAAACTGTCAAATCTCCTAGACTAGATCCATGGGATATGCAAAAATGCAAAGACCACATCATATCATCTCCTACCATTGTCAAACGAGAAGATGACATGAAATTCAAAATATCAGTACTCTTCGTGTCAAGCCTATCTGAATGAATTTGGGGGGGATATAAAAAATTAGTTTAACCAAGTAGAAAACACAGGGAAAATCCAGAATTCTTTATATATTGTGAAATTACATTGTCATTCAAGAGTAATGAAGAGATCAATATTGTGATTATGGGTCTGAGGATCCATGTGCCTACCGAAAGGCAAAAATGCTGAAGAGACTTTAATCTCTGAATGTGAAGAAAGTTTAGACTCAAGAATATGGATATACAAAGATAGCAGTTATATTTATATGAATTAATATTTGCATTTACTGATCTCAAATATATGTCTATGTTTAGTATTTATTATCGCTAAAAACTTATAATTTTAATAGAGGGTGCATTGAAGAAATAAAAACAGATATACTCTCTGAGGATACAGCTGTGACAAAGGTCTACTATACTCTTGCTCGTGGAGTTAATCTCAGAGGATACAAGAGAGTAAAGGTTTTCCTTCAATAGCCCATATTTTATTGGCTTAATAGGTAAGAAAAACATAAGGAAATGCAATTTGGTAGAACAGGCTACAGAATATATAAACGAAGCTGTCCAGTAAGTTCTCTTGTTTCTCTGAGCCTCAGTTTCCTCATCTGTAAAAATAAAGGCATTGATTTACCTACTCTTTAAGCTTACTTACAGTTCTGCAGTCTAAGACTGTATTGGATATGTGTATTAATAAAATACACAAGCACATATAAATGAAAAGAGAAGTATAAGATGATATTGTTACCCTTTGTGTGGTCAAAGGAGCAGAAGGTGGACAGTCGCTGAAAAATGTTTATGGAGAATCCAGTGCTGATGATCCACATCACCTTCCTCATTTTAGGAAAGGAGAGCTTGGAGGAGAAGCAGAAGGCTCAGAGATGGTTAGAATATTTGGCCAAAAGCTGACAGGTTGATATGGAGAGAGCATCATGGGCAAAATCAAAAATGGGTGAGAATTCTCAATGTATTTAGGGAATGGGTGAGTAAAAGAAAAAGTACAAAGAAAAAGTCAGGGGGAGGATGAAGCTAGAAAACTGATTATGAGAAAGTTGCAGCAGTCTTATATGTTTTGATAAGTATTTTTAATTTATCTTAGTAGACAATGGGTAAACATTAACAGTTTAAGCAAAAAGTTAAGGTAGTAAAAGATAACTCTGGTAAAGGAAGGATGGTTAGATTTGAATTTATTATCTAAGTCAGGGTTTCCATAATAGTATGCTCAAACCTGGTCCACTGTAATAAAGTAAAAATATATTAGAACTAATATTTGTTTTAATGCTTTATTTTTTACTTAAGAAATTAGCCTTTTGGGCCAGGCGTGGTGGCTCACAACTGTAATCCCAGAACTTTGGGAGCCTAAGGTGGGTGGATCACTTGAAGTCAGGAGTTTGAGACCAACTGGTCTCATCTCTACTAAAAATACAAAAAATTAGCTGGGTGTGGTGGCAGGCGCCTGTAATCCCAGCTACTCGGGAGGCTGAGGCAGGAGAATCTCTTGAACCCAGGAGGTGGAGGTTGCAGTGAGCTGAGATCATGCCATCACACTCCCGTCTGGCCAACAAGAGTGAAACTCCATCTCAAAAAAAGAAATTAGCCTTTGTAATATTGCCTATACAGATTAGGCATAATATATATGCATCATTTATAAATTAACAGACATATATTGCTGTGTACTCTGTTTTTTTAAATTGAGGGTCATGAGAAAATTAAGTTTGGAGATAGGATTGGTCTAGATAGGTGATCTTTACCTTGAGATCATTGACCCATTTTGGAATGTGATAATATCTATGGATCTTTTGTCAAAATATTTCACATTTTATGTACTTTTATTTGTTTGAAATATAAATTAAAAGGAGAAAAAGACATATTTAATATTTTAAGTACAATTTTAGCTGGTTTATAAAACATCTGAAGCCAAAATAATGAGAGTTTGATCTGTGGTTAAGGAAGTTTGGGGTGGAGAAAATAGAAAAATTAAAGAAATATTTATACAGTCAGCAGAGATTTGTTAATAAATTGGGTTTTGTGAGTGGCGAAAAGAAGTAGCTGTGGTTAAATCTCAAATTTCTCCTTTGAGCTTATGTAGAGACAGATGGTGATATTACATTAGATAGAAAAGAGAAGCATGTTTTGGGGGTATATGAGTTGGGTTTGGGATATTTTGAGTTTGTGAAATTGAAGAATACCAGTGGGAGTGAAAAGATCTGGGATTTAGGAAAACAGTGAATTTGGAGCTATATATTTGAAAATGAATTGCACATATATGATAAAATCATGGACAAAGATGAGATCCCCCACAAACAAAAATAAAATGCCCCAAGAGCATGCAAAATGTGAGAAATGATGAGGGTTGTAGTAAAGAACCTTAGTAAAAACCACACTTAACGGGAAGTCAAGTAGGAGGACCGAGAGTAAAAGACAGAGACAATGCAGGGAAGGAAGAAGAGAACTAGAGTAATAACATCATAAATGAGTCAGTAGAGTAGACCATCTGACAATACAAGGCCAGCATGTTCAAATGCATAGACATCAATTAGGAAGAAGCTATTAGGTTTAAGGATCCTAAAAAGAACATTCTCAAAACTTTAAAAGTCCATTTGTTATGACTAAAGAATAAAAAAGTAAACAGAAAATGTAGTTTATGTTTTAAGAAGATGGATGGTAAAGGAAAGAAATACATTAGGTTAGCACCTAGACAGAGAGGAAGAATCAGGTAATGTTTGTCTGTCTGCATTAAATAATTGAGCACGTTATCCATGAGCTTTTAACTGTGAATCTCTGGATACATGACTCTTATTGATGGTACCTTCTCTTCACTCCCACAGCTTTATTTGATTAATGATGCTTATTCTTCGGGTCTTAGCTAAATAGTTCATTCTTTCTAGGACGCCTTACCTGACTTCTTGAAATGGGTTAGAACTCTAGAATCTCTTTGGTATTCACCTGTAGCTCCCTCCAGCTTGTCTTCCATGGAATTCATTATACTGGCCCATAGTAAGTTTTCAGTAAATGATAGCTATTACATTGAGTCATAGGTGTCCTTGAGACTTCTAAGCAGAGCTGTCAAATACGTAGTTGGATTTATAATCTTGGACCTCAGGAAAAAATGGCTAGTTGGAGATAAAATTTGTGGGAGACAGACAAAAAGGGACAATTGGAGTCACTGGTTTTAGTAAGATCCCTAAGGAGACAGTGGGATATAAGGAAGCCTAGGATTGAGCCTTGGCCTACAGAATTAAGTAGCCCTGTAATTGAAGATGACTGTGCAAAGGAAGGGAGAAGCCAGTGAGTTCCAATTCCCACTTGTTTATTTTTGTTTCTGTTGCCTGTGCTTTTGGTGTCATATCCAAGAAATCATGGCCAAGACCAATGTTATGAAGCCCCCTCCACTGCCAATCTTCTCTTGTAGGAATTTTATAGTTTCAGGTCTTATGTTTTAAGTCTTTAATCCATTTTGAGTTGATTTTTGTGTATGGTGTAAATTAAGAGTTCAATTTTATTATTTTGCATGTAGACCGCTGTTTCCCTACCACAATATGTTGAAGAGACTATCCTTTTCCCATTGTGTATTCTTAATATCTTGTCAAAGAGCAGTGGACTTTATATGCATGCATTTATTTCTAGACATTTCTCTGTTCTGTTCCATTGGTCTATATGCCTGTATTTATGCCAGTATCATACATTTTTGATTACTAGAACTTTGTAATATGTTTTGAAGTCAGGAAGTGAGTTGCCTTCAGCTTTGTTTTTCTTTTGCTTGATTCTTTTGGCTATTTGGGGTCCTTTGTGATTCCACATGCGTTTTGTGATTGTTTTTTTCTGTTTCTGAAAAAGATAACATTGGGATGTGAATAGAAATTGCATTGAATCTGTAGATGGCTTTGGGTAAAATGGATACTTTAACAAAATTTAGTCTCCCAATCCATGAACATGGATTGCCTCCCTATCTTTCTCTTAATATCTTTCAACGCTACATAGTAGCTTTTAGTGTACAAATCTTTCACCTTGTCTTAGTCTGTTTTGCATTGCTATTACAGAATATCTGAGACTGGGTAATTTATAAAGAAAAGTTTATTTAGCTCATGGTTCTGTAGTCTATGAAGTTGAAGGGCACTAGCTTCTGGTGAGTGCTTTTATGCTGCATAATAACATGATGTAAGGTTAAAGGGGAAGCAGGTTTGTGTGAAAAGGGACCAAACACAAGGGAAAACCTTGCCTTATAGCAACTTACTCTTGCAAGAACTCTTTTATTACCACAAGAGTGAGAACTCACTCATTCCTGCAAGATGGCATTTAATTTATTCATAAAGGATCCACCTCCATGACCCAAATATCTCTCACTAGGCTCCATCTCCCAACACTGCCACATGCAATTAATTTTCAACATGAGTTCTGGCAGGGACAAATCACATTAGAATTACGGCACACATCCTGGTTAAGTTGATTCCTAAGCTGTTTTTTTTTTTTTTTGATGCTATTATAAATGAAATTGTCTTCTTAATTTTCTTCTTGGATTATGTTATAAATTCATAGTAATTCAACTGGTTTTGTGTGTCAATTTTGTATTCTGTAAATTTGCTGAATTTATTTACTTTTAAAAGGTTTTTGTGGTAGTTTCAGGGTTTTCTACGTATAAAATGATACCTGCAAAAAGTCATCATTTTACTTCTTCCTTTCAGAGTTGATGGCTTGCATTTCTTTTTCCTGCCTAATTGCTGTAGGATTTCCAGTGCTATGTTGAAAAGCTTTTAAATTGTGCACATTGCATATGTTAGCTGTGAACTCTTCAATATGGCCTTTATTATGTTGAGGCAATTTCCTTCTATTCCTAATTTTTTGAGGTTTTTATTATAAAAGAGTGTTGAATTTTGCCAAAGGGTCTTTCTGCATCTATTAAGAGGATCATGTTATTTTTATCCTTCATTCTGTTAATATGATTTATCACTTTGATTGTTTTTGGTACTCTGAGCCATCCCTGAACCTTAGGGATAAATCCCACTTGGCGATGGTGTATAATCCTTTTAATATCCTGTTGAATTCAGTTTATTGCCTTTTGCTGAGGGTTTTTTCATCCATATTTATTAGGAATATTGGCCTGTAGTTTTATTTTCTTGTAGTGTCTCTGTCTGGTCCTGGTATGGGGAAAATGCTAGCTTTATAAAATGAGTTTGGAAGTGTTTTCTCTTCTTCAGGGTTTTGGACGAGTGTGAGAGGATTGGTGTTAATTCTTTTTGAGTGTTTGGTGGAATTCACCAGTGAAGCCTCCTGGTCCTGGGCTTTTTGTTACTGTTGTTGTTGGGAAGGTTTTGAATACTGATTCATTCTCATTACTAGTTATAGGTCTGTCCAAATTTTCTATTTCTTCAAAATTCAATTTTATATGTTTCTAGGAATTTATCTATTTCTTCTGTTATCCAATTTGTGGGTGTATAATTCTTCATAGTAGTTTCTTACAATTCTTTATATTTCTATGTAACATCCCACTTTCATTACTGACTTTATTGATTTGAGTCTTCTTTTTTTCTTAGCTAGTATAGGTAAAGTTTTGTCAATTTTATTGTTCTTTTAAACAAACTATTCATTTCATTATTTTTTTCTGCTTTTTTTTTTCATACCCTATTTCACCTATTTCATCTGCTTTAGACTTTACTATTTCTTTCCTTCTGCTAACTTTGGACTTAGTTTGTTCCCTTTCTAGTTCCTCAAGGTGAAAATTATGTTGGTTATTTAATATTTTTCTTTATTGATGTAGGCATTTACCACTATAAACCTCCCTCTTAGTACTGCTTTTGTTGCATCCCATATGTTTGATATGTTGTGTTTTAATTTTCATTCATCTCAAGATACTTTCTAATTTACCTTTTGGTTTCTTTTTTGATCTATTGGCTGTTCAAGAGTGTGTTTAATTTTCACATATTTGTGACTTTTCCAATTTTCTGTCTGTTATTGATTTCTAGTTTATTTTCACTGTAGTCAGAAAAGATAACTTGTATGATTTCAATCTTCCTAGATTTTTAAAGATTTGTTCTGTGGCCTAAATTGTGATCTACAATGGAGACTGATCCATGAGCGCTTGAGAAGAGTTTGTATTCTGCTGTTGTTAGATGATATATTCTATTTTTGTCTGCTAGGTCCCTTTCATCTAGAGCATTGTTCAAGTCCTGTTTCCTTACTGATCATCTGTCTGGATGTTCTTTCCATTATTGAAGCTGAAGTTAAAATCTCCTATTATTAATTGTAATTTATTTCTCCCTTCAGTTCTATTAATGTTTGCTTCATATATTTGAGTGGTCTGATGTTGGCTGCATGTGTACTTAGAATTTTTATATCTTCCTTGTGAATTGAACCACTTACTATAATATAATGTCGATATGTCTGTTGTGACAGTTTTTGATTTACAGTCTATTTTTTTCTGCTATAAGTATGGCCTTTTTAACCTTTTTTGGTTACAATTTTCATGGAATATTTTTTCCATCTCTTTACTTCAGCATATATATGTCTATAAATCTAAAGCAAGTTTCTTGCAGACAGCATATGGTTGAATCATATTTAAAATCCATTCAGCCTTTATATGTCTTTTAATTGGACAATTTTATCCATTTACATTTAAAGTAATTACTGATGGAGTGGATTATTATTAGATTTTGTTAATTGTTTTATGTCTGTCTCTTAGTTTTGTTGTCCTTCTCCTCTCTTGCTATCTTCCTTTGTATTTTATTTATTTGTCATAATTATGTGCTTTATCTTTTCCTTTTCTTTTTGTATCTTCTATAGGTATTGTCTTCATGGTTATCATAGGGCTTACATAAAATGTCTTATAATTATAACCATGTATTCTAAGGTGATAACAACTTTAGTTATATGCACAAGCTCTGTACTTTGAATTTTCCCATTCTGGAACACTTTATGTTATTGATGTCACAAATTACAACTTTGTATATTTTATATCCATTTTACATATTTTATATGCTATAGTTTTTTATACTTATTTTTAACTTCTATACCAAATGATTTATGCACTATTACTGTATGAGTATTCTGTGTCTGTCTATGTATTTACTTTTACCAGCTAGTTTTATACTTTTAGATACTTTTGTGTTTCTGTCTAGCATCTTTTAGTTTCAGCTTGAAGGATTCCATTTAGCATTTCTTGGAAGGCAAGTCTGATGGCGGTGACATTTCTCAGCATTTCTTTATCTGAGAAAGTTTTTATTTTCCCTTATTTTTGAAGCATAATATTGCTGGCTATAAAATTCTTGGTTGACAGTTTTTTTTTTATTTTAGCACTTTGAATTCATCACCCATACCTCTGTTTCTTTAGGGTTATTTTTGGAAATTTATTTTATTCATTTGAATGGGCTATGTCTTCTGTTTCTTCCTGTGCCTCATGACTTTGTGTTGCAATCCACACACTTTAAAAAACAGCCTCCTCTCCCAGTCTTTATGGAGTGGCTTCATACAGGAAAAGACGTTTACTAATCACCCTGGCTGGAGATTATGACAACTTCTCAATTTTTTTCTTTTTCTTTTTTTTTTTTTTTTTTTCCTGTGGATGCGTCTTCCCTGGATTGTGCAAGTAAATTCCTGATTTCAGGGATCTGCTGGTGCCCCTTAATGGAATTTCTAAAATCTTATTCCCTCTGGTGTCTGTCTATGGTACCGCGGTTATGTGGAGCTGTTGCAAATTCTTTTGTTTGCTTTCAGTGTCCCCCAGGCTTCTAAAATATACTAGATCTCATCAGTGATACACATTGGGTGAGACAGAAAACAGTTTCTTGGGTAGTTATCCTAAAAGCTGGAATGTTGGATCTGTACTCCACTCCCCTGTCCAATGGAAAGGGCCATTAAGTTGCTTTAACTTCTGTCTGTTGTACTACACATCCTCTGGAACAGCAAATCATCTAGGTTTCTTTTGTTCTTGGTGGCTTCCAAGCATCTACAGTATGCCATGTCCCATCAGCACTCTGAGATAGATGAGACAGAAATAAGTTCCTTGGACAGGCCCCTTGAAAAACTGGAATGTGGGATGTACACTCCAACTCTTTCCTGCCCCAGGGAGAAGCCAGGTTTGGGGATGTTCTCCTGACTATTCCACACCGAGCTGGTGAAAGGGACTATGGCAAACGAGTGCATACTAGCCCAGTCTGTTGCCTTTGTTATCAGTATCGTCAACCCTATGCCCTTTCCTGCTAGCTCTTAGATTTAAGCAAGATAGAGCCAATCCCTTGGGCAGTGCCTCAACTGCAAAGTATGAACACTGGATGTATGGTCTGGTCTTCATTTTTCTCCCCAGGAAGAAGTTAACACCTGGGAGTTTTCTCCCATATCAGTGCACTGTGGCAGGGGTAGGGACTATTATGAGTACCATGAATTTTTCTACCAGTGTTGATGTGGCTGGATTGGCATTTGCCTGGGGTTCAGAAGCCTCTTAACAGGTTTCTGGATTTTTCTCAGAGGGAATCAGTCTGTGTATTTTTCAGTGTATTTGCAGAGGATCTTGGGTTTCCTATTCCACATTGCTGATATCACCCCTTATTTTACTATTTATATTTGGAAAATTTTAGCAATCACTTTTTAGGAAGCATATGATTAATATTTGGTATCACTTAAAAACTTAAAATAAAAAAAATTTTAAACTGCATTAATTATTTTAATATGTTTTAGTTTTTTTAAAGTACTTTAATTATCAGACAAATATTCCCAAATGCTTAAGATTTTCTAATGTAATACATTAAGCTTTTTCTAAACATTAATTTTCCCTAAAGTCTTAAAACTTTTATTTTGTATATTATAACTTTATGAGATTTTAAAACTTAAACATCAATTATTTAATAATACATTGTAAATTTGGAATCATAAGACTGATTAGCCAAATTCATTTTATATTGCATTTAAATATCAAATGCCTATCTTTTAGGACCACAAACTCATAATTCTACTTACAATTAAAAAATGGAAAGTGATTATGTACAACTTTTTAAGCACTTGTTATCAGATATTTTCTCAGGTATCTTGCCCCCTACCCACCCAAATTGTAACTTGTTCCTTTATGGAACTGCACTTAATCTAGTATGACTTGGCTTTAGTGAAATGTGATGTTTTCTGTTGATCAGAAATTGGTTGCCCATATCTTGAGACTGGATTTTCTCTTAGTCATGTTTTACACTTTGTGGCCTGAAAAGCAAGCTCCTTTGATTTCAGATTCTCAGGCTTCTTTTCTGCTGTCAGCCAGCAGCAGGGACTTCCAGTCCCTCCCGAAGGGGATCTTGCTCTTGTAACTGGCAACAGTATCCCTGAACTTGATCTCTTTCATGGGATGTCAGTGGAATGGCTTAGGTGGTTTTGATGTTTTCAAGAGTAATATTCATCATCTTTCTGGCTCTTCTGGCACTGAAGAGTTTTGAGAGTGGCCACTCTCCCCTTCTGCCCCTTCAGTGGCAGATGGACTTCAACTCCTCCAGATTGAAGCAGGCGGAAACATATCTTCAGCATACTTTACACATCTCTCCAATGTCGTTTTGAAAATCTTAGCTTACCGTAAAGCTGTGCATGCAGTCGCATTATTTTCTTTAATATTTCTTTTTCTTTCTTTTTAGAGTTCTTTCTACCATTTTCACAAAGTTTGGTTGACATTTGTTTCAGATTTGCAATATTCTGTATACTCTCATATCATTAACCAATAATTATTTGTTATAAATTAATATAAAATGCATATTTTAATTTTTGTTTCCTTTTCATGCTGGTATATACAATAGACTTTAAGGCACCTTAGGAATATACCTGGTAGATGTGACTTTAGCAGGATTAGACCTTGATCCTTCCCCTCCACAGTAATTATATCATTGTTAAATTTTGTTTCTCTAAAAATTCCTCTGGAATCATTATCTGCAGCTTCCATATTTACAAAACCAGAGTCTTACATAAATAAAAAAATCCTCCTTTATCTCTTATGTGAGATTTTCTAAATGCAGTTAATTTTTTCTCATTTGTTAAACAATCTTCATGTATTATTTATTCTCCTTAGCACATAAAATGCTAGTAGGTAGTTAGAAAAGCAATATAATATTAGAAAAACAATTTAGGCTAATTCATTTTTTAGTATATGTAAGATTGCAACAAAAAAGATGTTTTAGGCTGAGCACGGTGGCTCACACCTGTAATCCCAGCCGTTTGGGAGGCCAAGGTGGATGGATCACTTGAGCCCAGGAGTTTGAGACCAGTATGAGCAATGCGGCAAAACCCCATTTCTACAAAAAATAAAAAAATCAGACAGGCATGGTGACACACCTGTAGCCTCAGCTACTTGAGAGGCTGAGGTGGGAGGTCTCTTGAGCCTAGAAGGTTGAGGCTGCTGTGAGCTGTGATCATGCCACACTGCACTCCAGCCTAGGTGACAGAGTGAGATCCTGTGTCAAAAAGAAAAAAAGATGTTTCAGAACAGTGCCTGGCTAATGGCCATGTATTCTAAAATAAGTACTGTAAGGCATTTATAAGAAGGAGATATGGTATCAGGGTGAACTTGACATGTCTGGCCTTCAGAAGGAAGCAAGAGTAAAGCCAGTGGAAGGAAAGTGAGATGCAGAGAAGCAGAGTAACAAGGAATCTGAACAAAGACTTGAAGATCTGAAAGCATAAGGTGAGATTTGGAGAAAGCTGACCTATTTGGCTAGACTGGAGCATTTGAAGTGGGTTGATGTAACATATAAACCTGTATGAGTTCAGGTGCAAGAGGAACAGAATCCCAGAGATGGTTGAAGTATTGATGCTTAGAGTACTGAAGCCTGAATGACACTGATCCCTGTGAAAGGAAAGTTTGGTATGTAGAGAGACCATGTGGATAAAGAACAGCTTTGGCTCTGTAATATTTAACATCACCTGGTGTTAAGCCATTTTGTTTGAGATCACTTACAAACTGGAAACAAGACAGACTAGATGAAAGAGACTGTTCAGGGGTTTATCTGTGAACGTACTGTCTACAGCCATTTTAATACACTCATTATGTTTTGCTAGTATAAATTTTTTAAAAAAATTGTTGATATTCCTTCTCATCCTCATACTGCTTTGCTGCCCACCTGGAAGGTTATGGTGTTTATACAAAAAGGGCTTGCGTCATGCTCAGCATCTCAAGAGCCAAAGATGGATCTTACATTAAATCTGAGTTTGGCTTGCATGGAGAGATGAAGAGATGTTCTCGTCCAAGTTTGGCAGCTGCTTAGATGTTGAGGTCCCAATGTTTCAAACGCAGCTCAAAACCCTTTAGTGTTTTGAGTTTGGCTCTTGGCAAGGCATGATTTCCTGTTTCTAAGAAAAAAGACACATGAGAGAGCCTTAATAAAGCTTCTTGGACATCAAAACAACATTTTGATGAATTAATTGTAAATGAATCAGAAACATATGGATGCATTCTCTTGAGACACACACATGTTTAAAAAGAGGGGGAAGGGTTGTTGCTCAGGGCTAAATATGTTTTGGGTTTTATCAAATGAAGAATGCTTAGGGGAAAAAAAAGTAAAAAGGATGAATTGGAACTCCTGCTTTCTCTTTAAATAGACAAACCATTTACAATCTTTTTTGCTGCCACCTATTGCTGTTTCTGAAGAAATTCAACAGTGATGACAAATCACAACCAGCCAGGCCTCACAGTTTATATCAGTGTATTAGTCATAGAGGCTTGAAACCCAGGGCAAGGCTTTGGGAGTTTAGGAGAGAATCGGTTTTGTTTTCATGTTATTAACAGAGTTCATGTCAGACTGTCTGATAAGGATTGTTTTCTCTTACAAATCACTTGTAAATCTACTAATCTTTTATCGAATACTTCTTTCTCCTCTTAAACGTCCTCTGAAATACAGAATGGTTTTCTGAAAATTCTATTTTCAAAACAAATGGAACCACAATAAGATATTACTTCACTTGCACTAGGATGACTATTATCTAATAAACATAAAATGACAATTGTTTAAAAGGATGTGGAGAAATTGGAACCCTTCTGTACTGTTGGTGGCAGTGTAAAATGGTGCGGCCACTATGGAAAATAGTACCATATGATCCAGCCATCTCACTTCTGGGTATATACACAAAATAATTGAAAGCAGGGACTTGAAATGTGCACACCCATGTTTGTAGCATTATTCTCTACAATAGCCAAAAGGTGGAAACAAACCAGGTATCCACCAACAGATGAATGGATGAACAAAATGTAGTTTATACACACAATGGAATATTATTCAGCCTTAAAAAGAAATGAAACTTTGACACATGGTACAACATGGATGAACCTTGAGGACATTACGCTAAGTGAAATGAGCCAGTTCAAAAAGACAAATACTGTATGATTCTATTTCTGTGAGGCACAGAGAGTAGTCAAATTTATAGAAACAGAAAGTAAAATGGTGGTTCCCCAGGGGCTGGCGTGGGGAGGGGGTAATGAGGAATTATTGTTTAATGGGTACAGGGTTTTGGTTCTGCAATATGACAAGCATTCTAGAGATCTGTTGCACAACAATGTGAATGAGCTTAACATTACTGAACTGCAAATTTAAAAAATAAGATGGCAAATTGTGTGTTACAGTTCTTGACCACAACAAAATTAAAAAAAAAAAAACTACTAAGGAAACTTTATTTGAATATTGTTGGACAGAGTAGTCTCCAGAATATGTGACTCCTGCAATCTCAGGAATTTTGTCTTATGGGTCTATGGAGTCTTATTTCTGGGCTAGAAGAATTTGGTTTTACCTGTGAGTAGATGAATACACATGTGGGCACACACATACACGTACAAACACGTATCTCCTGCCCCAATCCCCTCATACTACAAGTTCTGTGACATTTCCCAGTACATTCCACTGGCCCCAAAGACTGTGCTTAGTGTCAACTTTAATGAACCATCACCTGGAAATTGACTGTGTGCTTGGAGGAAGGAGCACATTTTGATTTGCCAAGTTCTATTCATTTGAGTGTATTCCTATTTCTGCTCATTATCATGGAACATAGGTAAATTCCCAAGAAAATCCCCTACAACCGGAGAATAAAGGAGAATAGTATAGCTTGGTTTTAACTTCATGAATAGCATTCTCACCACTGCATAGAATACATTTTCCCCTTGGGGTTTTTTTTTTTTTTTTTCAGCTTGTGCCCAGGAAGAGAAATGATAAAATGTATGGTTTGTGGATTATATGTTTAATTTATACTATTCCTCACTCCAAAAATGATTTGAAATTATAAGTCACAAATAAGGGAGAGTGAAAAAGAGGAGAACAAGTTGGAGCTAGGGTTAAGATTAGAATAAAAATACATGCAATAGACACTGTATTATTGCTAGAGAGAGGCCATAAATTTGACTCTGAGTTTTCTAACTATTAACACAAGGAGGAAAATACACATTATAAGATTTACAGAGAAGAATTTTTCTCTATCTGACAAAAAGCTATCTTGATACACAATGGAAAACTTAGTCTGATTTTTATTCTTCATCTTAATCCAGTTCAACAAAAAATTCATTTGCTGCTACCAAGTGGCTGAAAGACCCTTGGTTTACCAAGTTTGACTACACTGGAGTGGATACAGTCTAAGCATTATCTAATTTTTTGAAAGTGATCTGAATTTTTTATTTTCCTTTTACTTCCCCATTCTCCTCCATTTTTTATTAGTATCTCCTGGAAAGGAAATAAAGGTTGCATGAGAGGAGAAAAATTCAAGTATGTTATTTTTTTTTCCTCTGTTTACCTGATTCCTGGAAAAAAAAAATCTCAGTTTAGTCAGTACTTGATTCATCTTGCCTAAAGTATTTGACTTGAGGTCTAAACAACTAAGTGGTTTTAGGCATCTTCTCTCATCCTGATTCACTGCTAGGTCAGCAACTTGGTAGACTGACAAAGTAGAAATGGTGTTAGATGAAGAGTTAGCCGGGGCTAGTGCTTAAGTGACAAGTTAGCTTAGAATATAATAATCTGACCATTGAAGCCTTGGCAGTACCTCTTTGCTGGTCTTTAACACAGGAAAGGTGAACTAGACAGTCTCTTTGGTCTTTCTCAGCCCTGTATTATATTGTTTAATTTTTCTACTCAGAGATGACTCAAGTACATGGAAATATCCTTAGGTGTAGTGTTATCTTTCAATAATATCTATTCAATAATCTCTAGCTACAAAATGTTGGTAAGAAAAAGATCCCTTAAAAATGCTTCTGAGTTCTTTGGGGCAGAAGTGCAAGAAGAATGCTTTCTGTAATTAAAAGGGCAGGGGCATTTGTGAGGGCCAGGGAGAAGAGGCTGGGATGTCACCCTAGGCTGAAAATGACTACTATATACACAATGGAACTTGGCAGTCTAGATTGTTTTGGCTTTATTTCCATTCACTTAAAACAAGTATGTGTGGGAAGGAGCTTGTGGGAAATGGGAGTGGAAGAGATATAATTTATTTTGGGTATTGTGTATTAGTCATTTTTTTGTCCACGAAGTCACCACCTGAAAGAAACAAGACAGCAATAGACGTCATTCATAAGCAATACGTTTTGTTTTAGGAGAGACTTTTATGGATGTGATTAAGCCCTGTTAAACATCCTATGCCACTGGGGCCGGAAGCATTCTCATTGTGTATTCTCACTTGTGAAACACCATGACTCAGGAAATACATGAACTTTTAAAACTATTCTGGCTGAATCCATATCTGCTTTGGAAACTAGGAAAGGGCAATAGAATAATCTGATCATTGAAGCCTTGATTATGTAAAAACTGAGTCATAAATCACCCAGATAATTTCCAAAATTTGCTATATCCTTGTTTTGAAAGTAAATAATGTTGCTTTAACATTCAAAAGCAACTTATTTTTTTATTTAACTATAATACTTCAAATTCTGTCCACGGTAATTTACTGGTACATTTGGAGCAATCATTATACACACGTTTACAGTAATTCTTCACAATGTTGCATGTGATGGTCTTAATCTAAAACTGGTGGACAGGATTATTTTTGGAGTAACCTCAGTATTTTGCTAGAAGGAAAATAAAAGTCTTTATAAAAAGAAAGAACAAATAGCCTTTTATTAAAGTAAAGCCCTGGGTTAATATACGTATCCAGAGAACTTATTGACTAAAAAGATACTGCAGAGGACAATCTGAAAGGGTGACAACCATGGATTGAGTGTGTGATGTGAGTTTTTTTCTTTTTTCAAATATGGCCATAATTGTAAAATATTCCAGACTACATTGACACTCCAAATAATGAAACTCATATTTGATTTACATTTTCAAATTTGAAAACACTTTAACATTCTTTTGAGAAACAGCACATGGTAAATAACACCATTTTTTATAAACTTGAGTAAGTAGTGACTTGTCACTTCATCTGGGCATAAAAATCTCTCTTACAGCCTAGAAGTATATGTGCATCACATGATGTTTGTGAAATTAGTTCCAAATACTAGATTGATTTTTTTTTTTTACAACTGGTTCTATCCACAGGGTATATAACTAAATGTAAAATACCAAAATATTTAATTTGACCTACCACTTCTGAGTTTAACAAACACTGTCATGTAACGAAGATCTAAAACCAAAGACAATGGCAAAAGCCAGAACAAATAAATGAGGCCATGTATATCCAAAAATCAACAGAAGGCACTTAACATGACTTGTAAGTGTAATGCTTTTATAAGTTTTTTATTGATTCAAAGAAAACCTCAAGTATAACAAGTTCTTGTAGAGGATCTAAGGTTGGTTGGCAGCACTTGTTATCTGGGTATTCTTTGACATACTCAAGATATAAAATTGATGGGTGACTTTGTGGAGAGTAAGATACAAGGCACTCCTGGAAGGCTTATTTTTCTAACCTTTGTTAATTGACTTAACTAACCTTTGAATTTTAAAGGTTTCAGGCTATCTTCTGATTGATTTTTTTTGTGCCAGTCTCTCATTGTATGATACTTGAAAGTATAAAAAAACTTTGAAAGGTTTGTAAACTGAGAATTGTTCAAGGATCTTTCTAAGAGTGAGCTTTGATTTCCAATGATTTGTTTACCTTCACCATCTATTTTGGAAACATTGCATGTAGTTGAATTAAAAGTATACTTCATCTTATTTTTTAAATATTTAATTTTGTTAAAATATACATAACATAAAATGTGCCATCTTAATCATTTTTAAATGTATACTTTAGTGGTGTGAAGAACATTCACATTGCTCCAGAATGCTTTCTATCCTACAATCAATCTCCAGAATCCTTTTCATCCTACAAGACTAAAATTCTGTACTCATTAAACAATAACTCTATATTCCCCTGATACCCTTGTCAGTCCCCATTCTACTTTGTTTTTAGGGATTTAACTATACCAGGTACCTCATATAAATGGAATTGTACAGTATTTGTCTTTTTGTGACTGGCTCATTTCACTTAGCATAATGTCGTAAAAGTTCATTCATGTTGTAGCGTGTGTCAGAATTTCCTTCCTTTTTAGGGCTGAATAGTAATATTTCATTGTATGCATAAACCACATTTTGTTTATCCATTCATCTGTTGGTAGACACATGGGTTGCTTCCACCTTTTGGCTATTGTGAATAATGTTATTATTCACAGTAGGATGTGAACAAAGGTATATAAATCTCTTGGAGATCATCTCATATATTTGTTTATTATACTTCAAGTTCTGGGATGTATGTGCAGAACGTGCAGGTTTGTAACATAGATATACACATGCCATGGTGGTTTGCTGCACCCATCAACCCGTCATCTACATTAGGTATTTCTCCTAATGCTATACCTCCCCTAGCCCCCCAACAACCGACAGGCCCCGGTGTGTGATGTTCCCCTTCCTGTGTCCAAGTGTTCTCATTGTTCAACTCCCACTTATGAGTGAGAACATGCAGTGTTTGGTTTTCTGTTCTTGTGTTAGTTTGCTGAGAATGATGATTTCTAGCTTCATCCATGTCCCTGCAAAGGACATGAACTCATGGTTTTTTATGGCTGCATAGTATTCCATAGTGTATATGTGCCACATTTTCTTTATCCAGTCTATCATTGATCGACATTTGGGTTGGTTCCAAGTCTTTGCTATTGTGAACAGTGCCACAATAAACATACACGTGCATATGTCTTTATAGTAGAATGATTTATACTCCTTTGGGTATATACCAAATAATGGCGTTGCTGGGTCAAATGGTATTTCTGTTTCTAGATCCATGAGGAATCACCACACTGTCTTCCATAATGGTTAAGCTAATTTACACTCCCACCAACAGTGTAAAAGCATTCTATTTCTCCACATCCTCCCCAGCATCTGTTGTTTCCTGACTTTTTAATGATCATCATTCTAACTGGTGTGAGATGGTATCTCATTGTGGTTTTGATTTGCATTTCTCTGATGACCAGTGATGATGAGCTTTTTTTCATATATCTGTTGGCTGCACAAATGTCTTCTTTTGAGAAGTATCTGTTCATTTCCTTTGCCCACTTTTTGATGGGGTTGTTTTTTATTTCTTGTAAATTTTTTAAGTTCTTTGTAGATTCTGTATATTAGCCCTTTGTCAGATGGATAGATTGCAAAAATTTTTTCCCATTCTGTAGGATGCCTGTTCACTCTGATGACAGTTTCTTTTGCTGTGCAGAAGCTCTTTAGCTTAATTAGATCCCATTTGTCAATGTTGGCTTCTGTTGCCATTGCTTTTGGTGTTTTAGTCAGGAAGTCTTGGCCCATGCCTATGTCCTGAATGGTATTGCCTAGGTTTTCTTCTAGGGTTCTTATGGTTTTAAGTCTTATTTTTAAGTCTTTAATCCATCTTGAGTTAATTTTTGTGTAAGGTGTAAGGAAGGAGTCCAGTTTCAGTTTTCTGCATATGGCTAGCCAGTTTTTCCAACAGCATTTATTGAATAGAGAATCCTTTCCCCATTGCTTGTTTTTGTCAGGTTTGTCAAAGATCAGATGGTTGTAGATGTGTGGTGTTATATCTGAGGCCTCTGTTCTGTTCCATTGGTCTATATATCTGTTTTGGTACCAGTGCCATGCTATTTTGGTTACTGTAGCCTTGTAGTATAGTTTGAAGTCAGGTAGCGTGATGCCTCCAGCTTTGTTCTTTTTGCTTAGAATTGTGTTGGCTATGTGGGCTCTATTTTGGTCCATATGAAATTTAAAGTAGTTTTTTCTAATTCTGTGAAGAAAGTCAATGGTAGCTTGATGGGATAGCATCAAATCTATAAATTACTTTGGGCAGTATGGCCATTTTCACGATATTGATTCTTGCTATCCATGAGCATGGAATATTTTTCCATTTATTTGTGTCCTCTCTTATTTCCTTGAGCAGTGGTTTGTAGTTCTCCTTGAAGAGGTCCCTTCACATCCCTTGTTAGTTGTATTCCTAGGTATTCTATTCTCTTTGTAGCAATTGTGAATAGGAGTTCACTCGTGATTTGGCTCTCTGATTGTCGATTATTGGTGTATAGGAATGCTTGTGATTTTTGCACATTGCTTTTGTATCCTGAGACTTTGCTGAAATTGCGTATCAGCTTAAGAGGATTTTTGGCTGAGATGATGGGGTTTTCTAAATATACAATCATGTCATTTGCAAACAGAGGCAACTTTACTTCCTGTCTTCCTGTTTGAATACCCTTTATTTCTTTATCTTGCCTGATTGCCCTGGACAGAAATTCCAATACTATGTCGAATAGGAGTGGTAAGAGAGGGCATCCTTGTCTTGTGCTGGTTTTCAAAGGGAATGCTTCCAGTTTTTGCCCATTCAGTATGATGTTGGCTGTGATTTGTCATAAATAATTCTTATTTTGAGATACATTCCATCAATACCTAGTTTACTGAGAGTTTTTAGCATGAAGGGGTACTGAATTTTATCAAAGGCCTTTTCTGTGTCTATTGAGATAATCGTGTGGTTTTTGTCATTGGTTCTGTTTATGTGACGGATTATGTTTATCGATTTGCATATGTTGAGGCAGCCTTGCATCTCAGGGATGAAGCTGACTTGATCATGGTGGATAAGCTTTTTGATGTGCTGCTGGATTCAGTTTGCCAGTATTTTATTGAGGATTTTCACATTGATATTCATCAGGGATATTGGCCTGAAATTTTCCTTTTGTTGTTGTTGTGTCTCTGCCAGGTTTTTGTATCAGGATGATGCTGGCCTCGTAAAAGGAGTTAGGGAGGAGTCCATCTTTTTCTACAGTCTGGAATACTTTTAGAAGGAATGGTACCAGCTCCTTTTTGTACCAGTGGTAGAATTTGGCTGTGAATCTGTCTGGTCCTGGACTTTTTTTTTGGTTGGTAGGCTATTACTGCCTCAATTTCAGAAATTGTTATTGGTCTGTTCAAGGATTCTACTTCTTCCTGGTTTAGACTTTGGAGGGTGTAAGTGTCCAGGAGTTTATCCATTTCTTCTAGAATTTCTAGTTTATTTGTGTAGAGGTGTTTGTAGTATTCTATGATGGTAGTTTGTATTTCTGTGGGATCAGTGGTGATATCCCCTTTATCATTTTTTATTGCATCTGTTTGATTCTTCTCTTTTCTTCATTAGTTTGGTTAGCGGTCTATCTATTTTGTTGATCTTTTCAAAAAACCAGCTCCTGGATTCATTGATATTTTGAAGGGTGTTTCATGTCTCCATCTTCTTCAGTTCCGCTCTGATCTTAGTTACTTCTTGTCTTCTGCTAACTTTAGAAATTGTTTGCTCTTGCTTCTCTAGTTCTTTTAATTGTGACATTAAGGTGTCGATTTTAGATCTTTCCTGCTTTCTCTGGTAGGCATTTAGTGCCATAAATTTCCCTCTAAACACTGCTTTAGCTGTGTCCCAGAGATTCTGGTACATTGTGTCTTTGTTCTCATCGGTTTCAAACAACTTATTTATTTCTGTCTTAATTTTGTTATTTACTGAGTAGTCATTCAGGAGCAGGTTGTTCAGTTTCCATGTAGTTGTGTGGTTTTGAGTGAGTTTCTTAATCCTGAGTTCTAATTTGATTGCACTGTGGTCTGAGAGACTGTTTGTTATAATTTCTGTTCTTTTGCATTTGCTGAGGAGTGTTTTACTTGCAATTATATGGTCAATTTTAGAAAAGCGTGATGTGCTGAGAAGAATGTATATTCTGTTGATTTGGGGTGGAGAGTTCTATAGATGTCTATTAGGTCCACTTGGTACAGAGCTGAGTTCAAGTCCTGAATATCCTTGTTAATTTTCTGTCTCATTGATCTAATATGGACAGTGGGGTGGGTGTTAAAGTCTCCCACTATTATTGTGTAGGAGTCTAATTCTCTTTGTAGGTCTCTAAGAACTTGCTTTATGAATCTGGGTGCTCCTGTACTGGGTGCATATATATTTAGGATAGTTAGCTCTTCTTGTTGCATTGATCCCTTTACTATTATGTAATGCCCTTCTTTATCTCTTTTGATCTTTGTTGGTTTAAAGTCTGTTTTTTCAGGGAGACTAGGATTGCAACCCCTGCTTTTTTTGCTCTCCATTTGCTTGGTAGATCTTCCTCCATCTCTTTATTTTGAGCCTATGTGTGTCTTTGCACATGAGATGGGGCTCCTGAATACAGCACACTGATGGCTCTTGACTCTTTATCAAATTTGCCTGTCTGTGTCTTTTAATTGGGGCATTTAGCCCATTTACATTTAAGGTTAATATTGTTATGTATGAATTTGATCCCGTCATTATGATGCTAGCTGGTTATTTTGCCTGTTAGTTGATGCAGTTTCTTCATAGCGCCAATGGTCTTTACAATTTGGTATGTGTTTGCAGTGGTTTTTACCAATTGTTCCTTTCCATGTTTAGTGCTTCCTTCAGGAGCTCTTGTAAGGCAGGCCTGGTGGTGACAAAATCTCTCAGCATTTGCTTGTCTGTAAAGGATTTTATTTCTCCTTCTCTTAGGAAGCTTAGTTTGTCAGGATATGAAATTCTGGGTTGAAAATTCTTCTCTTTAAGAATGTTGAGTATTGGCCCCCACTCTCTTCTGGCTTGTAGGGTTTCTGCTGAGTGATCTGCTGTTAGTCTGATGGGCTTCTCTTTGTGGGTAACCCAAACTTTCTCTCTGGCTGCACTTAACATTTTTTCCTTCGTTTTAACCTTGGTGAATCTGATGATTATGTGTCTTGGGGTTGCTGTTCTCAAGGAGTATTTTTGTGGTGTTCTCTGTATTTCCTGAATTTAAATGTTGTCCTGTCTTGCTAGGTTGGGGAAGTTCTCCTGCATAATAATCTGAAGAGTGTTTTCCAGCGTGGTTCCATTCTCCCCGTCACTTTCATGTACACCAAGCAAACGTAGGTTTGATCTTTCCACATAGTCCCGTGTTTCTTGGAGGCTTTGTTCATTCCTTTTCATTCTTTTTTCTCTAATCTTGTCTTCACACCTTCTTTAAGTTGATCTTCAATCTCTGATATCCTTTCTTCTGCTTGATCAATTTGGCTATTGATACTTGTGTATGCTTCACGAAGTTCTCATGCTGTGTTTTTCAGCTCCATCAGGTCATTTATGTTCTTCTCTGAACTGGTTATTCTAGTTAGCAATTCATCTAATAACCTTTTTTCAAGGTTTTAGCTTCCTTGCATTGGGTTAGAACATGCTCCTTTAGCTTGGAGGAGTTTATTATCCACCTTCTGAAGCCTACTTCTATCAATTCATCAAACTCATTCTCCATCCAGTTTTGTTCCCTTGCTGGTGAGGAGTTGTGATCCTTTGGAGGAGAAGAGGCTTTCTGGGTTTTGGAATTTTCAGCCTTCTTGTGTGGGTTTCTCCCCATCTTTGTGGACTTATTTACTTTTAGTCTTTCATTTGGTGACCTTCTGATGTGGTTTCTGAGTGGATGTCTTTTTTGTTGATGTTGATGGTATTCCTATCTGCTGTTAGTTTTCCTTCTAACAGCCAGGCCCGTCCGCTGCAGGTCTGCTGGAGGTCCACTTCAGATCCTGTTTGCCTGAGTATCACCAGCAGAGGCTGCCGAACAGCAAAGATTGCTGCCTGTTCCTTGGTCTGGAAGCTTTGTCCCAGAGGGGCACCTGCCAGGTGCCAGCGAGATCTCTCCTGTATGAGGTGTCTGTCGGCCCCTGCTGGGAGGTATCTCCCAGTCAGGAGACATGGGGGTCAGGGACCTTCTTGACGTGGCAGTCTGACCCTTAGCAGAGCTCAAATGCTGTGCTGGGAGATCCGCCACGGTCTTCAGAGCCAGCAGGCAGGGACGTTTAAATTGGCTGAAGCTGGGCCCACAGCCACCCCTTCTCCTAGGTGCTCTGTCCCAGGGAGATGAGAGTTTTATCCATAAGACCCTGACTGGGGCTGCTGCCTTTTTTTTGGAGATGCCCTGCCCAGAAAGCCAGCTCATATTTTTAATAAAATTTTTTTTCCTAAATATTGGAGAAGAAACAACTTTTGAGACAGTCAATCTAAAATATACACTTAATTCTTTCTTAATAAATTCTGAGCAGATTATATAGATGAACTATTCCCTGAATGATCAGTGTTACGACCTCTCTTCCTTGTGAGGACTTCCTGCGTGACAAACTATATTGACCTGATATTGACCTTTCATTTGCATTTAATGCATAAACAAAAAAAGTTATAGGTGAAATTAAATAAGATCAGTTGAGACCCCTGATTTTTAAAGCAAAATCAAAACGTGTGCTTGATTCTGCTTTGAGAATCATGGATAATTGGAATGAACATTGGAATGATCTTTAAATAGATCAGATATGTTCCCAATGAAGTAAAATGTGTTCTCATTTCACCTTTTAAATTTTACCTTACTGACTTAAGAGCACTCCCTTCACTATTATCATTTCATTAATTCAGTCATGCATTCTATTCCATTCTACGAATCTTTATAGAGCTCCCACTGTTTCAGGCACTTTTCTAGGTGCTCAGCATATAGCTATAAACAATACAACAAGGTCCTAGCCTATATAATTACTTATGTTAGATACTGACATATATTTAAAATAAACAAGTAATAATTCATAAATAACAAATCGCTTGGTGGAAAGTGAGTAAGCCTTACAAAGGACATAGGGTGGGCAATATTGTAGCTTGCATTTTATTGGCAGTGCAATAGAAAGTTCCTGGCTAGTTCTGAGAAGCAGAGTACCATGCTCTGCTTTAAGCTTTTAAATGCCACTCTGGCTTTTGAATGGAGAAGAGAACTTGAGGGCCCAAGAGTAAGGGCAGAATCCCAGGGACCAGTTAGGAAGCGTTGCATTAGTCTAGATGAGTAATAATAGTGACCTATCGTGGGACTTCACCTTGTGATCCTGTGAGTCAATTCTCCTTAATAAACTCCCTTTCATATATACGTATATTCTATTAGTCTGTCCCTGTAGAGAACCCTAATACAAGCATATTGATAGTAGTAGTGACAGTTACACATGCCAGTTAAATTTGGGGTGTCTGTTACTTGTGGCTCTCAAGTCCCACGATAGGTCATCAGCAAGCTGAGGAGCAAGGAAGCTAACACTGGCTCAGTCCAAGTCCCAAAACCTCAAAAGTAGGGAAGCCAACAGTGCAGCCTTCAGTCTGTTGCCAAAGATCCAAGAGCCCCTGGAAAACCACTGGTGTAAGTCCAAGAGTCCAAAAGCCGAAGAACTTGGAGTCTGATGTTCAAGGGCAGGAAGCATCCAGCACGGGAGAAAGATGAAGGCCAGAAGACTCAGCAAGTTTGCTATTTCCACCTTCTCCTGCCTGCCTTCTCCTGCCTGCACTGGCATCCAATTGGATGGTGCCCACCCATATTGAGGGTGAGTCTACCTCTCTCACTCCACTGACTCAAATGTTAATCTTCTCTGGCAACACTGTCACAGACACACCCAGGAACAATACTTTGCATCTTTCAGTCCAATCAACTTGACAATATTAACCATCACAATGCTTAAATGTGCTTTTGGCCATTTGTGTGTGTCTTTTGTTTTTTAATTTACCTCCTGTCAGAGTGCTTATTTTTCTGGTTTAGTTTTTTTCCTTATCAATGTACAATAACTTTTAATATATTAAAGAAATTAAACATTTTGAGTGAGGTATAATGAGAAGCATTTATTTTTCACATTTTAAAATTTGCCCTCAAAGTTTAATGATTTTATCATACAGATATTTTACATTTTTATATAGTCAAATATAAAAATATCATGTTGAATTCTTTTCAGTTTTTCCTGAAGGTGGAGGGTGGGAGGAAAGAGAGGAGCAAAAACAAATAAATAAATAAAATAACTATTGAGTACCAGGGTTAATACCTGGTTGATGAAATAATCTGTACAACAAACCTTTAGGACACAAATTTACCTATATAAGAAACCTTCACATGTACCACTGAACCTAAAATGAAAGTTACAAAAAAGAAACAATAACCCTGTCTACCTAGAGGAGACTAAGTAATTTCATATGTGTTTTCTTCTATCTTAAAAGATTTATTTGATTTTTTATAATATTTATAGAAATAAATACACCTTAAAAGTAAACAAAAATATCGTTAATCAAACACAATAACCCATTACCTTGATATTTATAATTTCAGAGTCTGTAAACAATGTTATATTGTACTGTTTTAACGTATTTTCACCAAATAAATATATTGCACATTTTTTATATCATCTCATACTTTTTATAACATTTTAATAACTTCAATATATCTTTATTTCACTTATTATATTCAGGTACGCTCTGTGTTGGATGTTTTCAATTTTCTTCTAGTGTAAACGGTGTTGCTAAGATACATTGGTAAGGAAATTTTTATGGATGTTCATGACTATTTCCTTAGCATCTTCTTCTAACGTAAGTTTGTATGTCAGCAGTACTTCTATTGTAAAACCTTGAGCAGGGTGACAGAAGAGTACTTTTGAAGTTGGACTGTGAAAGCAGCCTGCCTTAGTTAGACCCCTGGTCCTGCCCCCTGCTAGCTATGTCACCTAGGAATGTCACAAATACCCTCTGTGTGTCATTTTTCTCACTTCTGTAGTGTCCACCATCTATAATAATACCTACACCTCAAGACTGTTATGAAGATTAAGTGAGCTAATATACACAGTAGCTTAAAAGAATGTCTTGGCATTCAGTGAGAAATTTATTTCTTACTATGTACTGCTGAATTGTCCTAAATATGGTGTCCGTTTACAATTTTTAAAAATATATAAAAATTCCTATTTATACAGTCTTGTTATTTTATTTTTAAAATCCCATTTGAAAATTTAAAATGTTGTATTACTGTTTTAATTTGCATCTACTTAGCTTTCTAGGAAAAATGAACATTTTAAATCTATGTTAATTGCTGATATATATTTATCCATTTCTGAATTGTTTGCTTAGGCATTTTCCAAAATTTCCATTGGGATATTTATTTGTCCCTTATTTATTAAGATTTTAAAGATGTATTGATATTAACTCTTATATGCTGCAAATATTATCTCCTGTCAGATGTTAATTTTTCACCCAACATTTATTTAGGGGAAGAAACTGTGGTATCACACTCTTTTATAAAAATACTTTAACACCAGCATGTTCACTAAATTGCTGGAAACTTGTAGACATTATGTGAGTTAAGTATAAAGTTGACAGATTCAAGTTAATAAGGCAAAAGCTTGAATTTAGAATTAAATTTAGAATTAAATTTTTTTAATGAAAGAATATTTCGTAATATATTTTAAGTAGGATATGTGTATGAGAGAGAGAGAGATAAGAGAAAATTGAGTCTTCTTGGCAATTCTTGATAAGATTTAAACCATACCTAGTTGGCCCTATAAACAGAGACTTCCAGGTGGCTGTCTGGAGTAGTTCTATGAAATAAGATAGGCACTTCACCAAAGCTGCAGTTGTTTGAGTGTTAAGACCTGCAAGGGGAAGTAGAGTGCCTTCCCTGGGAAGACAAGACCCAGTTTTCTTGGAGACACACAGGCAGCAAGATTAAAGTCTAATCTCTTTTCCATTGGTGTGCACCAATTCAGCTGAGAGTGTGAAAATCTCTATTCCTCTCTACTATCTTTAGCTACCACTCCCTGCCATTTCATTACCCACAGGAACAGTCTAGGAGGAAAAATTAAAACTTGCTTAGTTTCCTATCTTGTGAGCCTGTATTTCTAGTGTAAAATCCCACTCATTTGAAGGACAAAATATCCTCTAGATCCATCTTTGAAATTTAGAAAGCTAGTCTTTATTACAATAAGGCAAAAGTAATCCCTAAAGCTGAAATTTTAGAAAGATTTACAAATACATTCATCTTAAAAATTAATGGTTCCATTATTTATATGTTTGTCTTCAGTTCATCTGCTGCATATTTGGGCTCATGGCAAAATAAGATTCTTAATTTACTTTCAAATGATTAGTCAGTCTTTCCAGTTCCATTAATTTGAAACACACTAATTCAGCATGCCTTCAGAATATGATATTTATATTCATATATAAAGTGAACTTTACTACTACACCAGTACAAATACTGTTTTTATCATCATGAATTTTTTGTATGTTTTACTGTCTGGGAGGCTAGTAAGTGCCCTCCTTCTGACTCTTGTCATTTAACATTTTATTGGCTGATCTTTCTATTCTTCCCAAAAAGAAGTGTTGAACTTAGGAGAAAAAAAATTAAAACTGTTCCTTCCAGAAGGAATTTTTCTTCTAATTTTTGAAAAAAATCTATATAAATGTGTTGGGGATAGCTGTTTATGGCATTTTCCCATCTGAGAATATTACACACATATATAATTAAGATGTTATTTTATGTCCCTGAAAAGAATGTAATAATACTCTGAATATTTTGATAATATATGGATATACAATGACTATGCATTTTTGGATATTTAATATTTTAAAATTTGAATAATCAATGAGATATGGCCTTTCTCATGTACCCTACCAGAGAGTTACTGATAAATAGCAAGAGTACTAGTTGTCACACATTTATTTTTCATCTGGATATATGAGCAAATTACCTTGGTTTAAATAGTACTTTATTCTCTCTAAATTTCTAGATAGATAATTATATTATCTGCAGACAGGTGATGTTACTCTTTCCTTTTCTAATAGCAATTACTTGTTTTCTTTAGAACTCTCTCACCTAGCATGAACTTCCAAGATATTGTTAAGTAACTGCAGTGAAAATTAATTTACCTTAAAGTTTTGCTGTAGTTTAAGACTTTTTATCATGTTAAAGAAAAATAATCTTCTTTAACAGTTAGGAATGGGAGTTCATTCTTATCAAATTTTAATTAAAAATGATTATTCAGTCCAGGCACAGTGTCTCACACCTGTAATCCCAGCCCTTTAAGAGGCTGATGTGGGCGGATTGCTTGAGCCCAGAAATTCTAGACCAGCCTGGGCAACATAGCGAGATCCTGTCACTACAAAAAGTATTAAAATTAGCCAGGCATGGTGGTGCACATAGTCCCAGCTACTTGGGAGACTGAGGCAAGAGAATCACCTGAGTCCAGAAGTTGAGGCTGCAGTGAGCCATGATCACAGCACTGCACTCCAGACTGGGTGACAGAGTGAAACCCTGCCTCAAAAAAAAAAAAAAAATTCAGTACTTTCTATGACCCCTATCCTAAGAACTTTACCTATATGATTCCACTGCAACCTCACCTCTATAAATCAGGACTCTTATAACTCCAGTTATACAAATTAGGATATTATATTTTAAATAATTAGAAAACTTTTCAAGTACTATGTTTGAAAGTAGTCGCTGAGTTTCAGATTTCTACTCTTAATATCCTTTACTCTTTCTTATTGGGACATTTATAAACATAATTGTATTATTCATCTCCTTTGATGTATCATTGTAATGAATTATAGTAATTAACACTTCCATTAAAATTTTTTCTTTGAATTCCCAAAATTGGCCATGCTAGTTGCTATCTGCATAGTATTAGACTTTGGTTGATAGCACTTCCAGATAGTAAGCCAGTCCCACTATCTTGAAATTCTGTCTTCATTTGGCTTCTGAAACCAAACACTTCCAGGTTTTCTTTCTTGCTCACATACCAAGCCTTTCAATTTTCTTTTCTGGGTCATTTTTCTCTTCCTTGTGTCCACATGTTAAATATTCCTAAGACTCAGTGCTTACATTCTTATTTTCTCAAATTATACCCTCTTTGTAGATCATCTTTTCTGGTCTTGTGGCTTTAAATGTCACCTGCATGCTAACAATATTTAAATGTTTCCGGTTTCAGTTTACCCCACTGAGCTCCAGGATTGTTGATTTAACCAACTTCTTGATTTCTTCATTTGGATTATCTAAGAGAAATTCAAAGTTGGCATAGTCAAAATAAAACTTTAGATAAGTATATATTTTAGTGATTAAAAAGAAGAAAATATGTTTTATATCTACATTAATTTTTTACCATTTCAAACACTCTTCCACATGTCTGTCTAGTATCATATGCCTTCTTCCTGAATAATTTTCTTTAACATTTTGTGTAGCTCAGATATTTTGGCAAGTAATCCTTTAAGATTTTGCTTGTCTGAAAATATTTTATATTTTATCTTCATTTTTGAAGGATACTTTTGCTGGGTATAGAATTCTACATTGCCTTTTTTTTCCATTACTGTAAAAAATGTCACTGCATTGTCCTCTGAATTAAATGATTTCTGCTGTTGTTCTTATCTTCGTTTTTTGTATGCAATGTGTTTTGATTTTTTCCTGACTTTTGCAGATTTTTTTTTATTCTTCTTCGATAGCTTTACTATATCTCTGTTTGGTATTTATCCTGCTTGGCTTTCTCTGAGCTTTTTGGATCTATGGTTTGATATCTTTTGTTGTGTCTTCAAATATTTCTTCTGCCTCATTTTTCTCTCCTAGTATTTTAACTACATGTTAATGAGATAAGGAAATATTATCCAATATTGGGTGGTCCTTGTTTTATGAATTTTTTTCTCTGTGTTTCAATTTGAACATATTAAAATTAATCTATACTGACACATTTTTAGTTCACTGATTATTTTACAGCTTGTGGTAAATCTGGTGATCCCATCAAAAGAATGCTTTATCTCTGATATTGTGTGTATGCATATGTATGCGTATTTATAATATTTTCATCTGATTTTTTCTAATTTTTCTGCTGAAGTTTCCCACGTGTTTATTCATTTTTTTCCATGTTTTCTGCTAAGGGTTTTGGCATATTAGTCATAGTTATTTCAAATTCCAAACTCTCTCACTGTTACTCTCAGTGCCTGAATTATCTCCGAATCTAGTTATATTGTCTGCTTTAGCTCTTGACCCAGTTGTTTTTCCTTGCTCTATTTTTCGTCTCTGGATTTTTTATTGAATTCTGAAAATGATGTAGTAAAGACTGAGATATACTGTATTCATGGCTGGAAACAGGCATGTCAGGCTGTTGTTGTGGAGACTTGACTTATTCTAGTCAGGAGTTGAGTTATCTTTGGGTTTTGTTGTTGCTATCATTACCTCCAGTAAACCACAGGTTTCAAAGTTCTCTAACAATGGTCTGCTGTTATCTTGTAGTAAGAGTGGGGAATGGGATACCAAAAGGTTTTTATGAATGCCAGAAATGATGGATAATACCAACCCTTATACTATATATATTAATACTATACCGTATTTTTTCCTAAACACACATACCTATGATAAATTTAATTTATAAGTTAGGCATAAGAGATTAACAACAATAATAGAGAAAAGTTATAACAATATACTGTAATAAAAATCAAATGAATGTGGTCTCTCTCTCTCTCTCTCTCTCTCAAAATATCTTCTGGTATTATACTCTCCTATTTTCAAACCATGGTTGACTGTGGGTGACTGAAACTGTGGAAGGTGAAATTATGTATAAGGGGGCACTATTGCTTTTCTTTTCCACCTTTCCTTCAGTTTTTAACCATCCTGGTGTGTCTCAGCCACAGAGAGGGCTCTTCCAGAGTCTTTCCCTCTCCCAAAAGTAGACTGCTCTTGTTACTTAGTACTGGGTTCATGGTAGGGGAAGCAAAGTCCTCTGTTACCCTGCTCCAGTTTCAGGCTTAGCCTAACTCAGTGCATGTCAGTCTTATATTTACAGCTATCTCAATGTTCTTACACATCCTTTCCATTGCAGAAATTATCTGTTTTTATCTGTAGTCATTTTTGGGCAAGAGAGAGTTTACTGCCCTTCTGCTAGTGGTAGCAGACTTCTGCTTAGCATTGGTGTACGATCCTAAATCAGAGGTGATGTTCCACCCTTCTGCCACAGGTAGAATAATATTTTTTAAACATATTTCTCCAAGCAACAATGGTTTCTCCAAGTGTCTTTATCTAGAAACAGCAATGTGTTCTATGGTTAGAAAGACTTCCTATTTCTCCCTCAGAGGGGAGACAGATTTTTTTCTATTCATTTCCTAGAATCAGTCATTCTTTGCCTGTGCTCTGAGTCAAAAATGTTTGCTGCTGTCTTCCAGTAGCCTATGTGTTTGCTTCTGATGAGAATGTTATGTAAGTAGTCGAAAGACATCTTCTATTGGCTGTAGATTGTTTATTTCCTCAAGGCTCATGATAATGGTATCATTAGCCCAGAGGAAAACTCAAATTTTTACACATTCAATTGCTTAAAAATGTAGTCCAAATAAGCATATTTTTAGTGAGTTAGAGTCTGCCTGCTTTGCATATCCCAGAACATTTCACTCAACATCTACTAGCCTTAGTTAGATAAGACAAATTCTGGAGTTATAAAAGACTCTAAGCCACTGCTGTCCTTTGAAAATCTTGGTCCTAGAGACTTCTCATGTTGCTGCTTTGTGACATCATGTAGATACACAAGCCCCTCACCAATTACCCTCTCTTGCCCTTGCCCTAGTTTCCTTCTGGATGGTAGTCCTGTGCCATTGTCACTGGAAGGTCTCATGCTGTAATATGCGCCCCTCATGCCCCACCACACATACACATGAAAACCTGTCAAGGTACCACCCTAATAAAACTCATTGTTTGTTAATGCCCCCTTGCTATCATATATATATTTTTTTTATCAGCCCTGAAATCCTGAACTCGCTTCAAGTGGCAATGAAGATGAGGTGATTTTTGGTTATGATCAAGGAATTCATATGGGGGTCTACCCAGTTAGTGAAACAATCATTGGAAAGCCCATACGTTAGTTTGGTATAACATTGCTCCATGCTGTATTGTACTCTTAATATTTTACATGTACCCCCATACCTTATTAGCCTGGCCAAGCAGGAGCACCAATAACTGAGTAAATCCCCACCATTAGAATTGACTTTTGGAGTCAGAGGCCCAGGAAAAGTGGTTAGTGCTCCTGTCTGGGTCCCCCACCAGGAAGGTGCTAGATGTTGTAAGACCTGCAGGCCTAAATAGAAAAGAGGGAGAAGTACACACTTCTAGACCAAGGGTTGCCTATCTGTGACCCTGTAACAGCCTACAGTGGCAAGAGCTCCTTTTAGCCAGTGATTTGGGGTGTGCTGAGACAAGAGGATATCCTTATTCTTGGGGACCACTACAGCAGGTAAATGAGACAGTGAGGCAGAGACATCAGGCTGAGGCCAGGCTCCTGAGCCTAGCTGGAGGAGTAGCCTTTGGAAGCAGCTAGCACACCTCCGTGATACTCAGTTATGCTGTGTGATGTTGTCATTATAGTTTCTCCTTGGAGGGATATTGAGATCCCAAACCTGGGGCCAAACTAGCCTAAGTGTTACTTCAAGTGAATAAAAGCAAGGCAATTTACATCTTTGTTCCTTCCAGAACTTTAAAGTAGCCACTGCCCTGGTGAGCACATGCTCCAAACTACAACTCATGTGCTGGTCCTTGTTCATGGCAGCTTCTTACCAAGAGGCCACGCAGAGAGTGAGGAGGGGCCTGAAGTCCTGGGGGAGATGTTATGAGGAGAGGAACCTGGGCAGGAGGATTTGTGCTCTCTAGCACAGTGTCACCAGGACTGGGACTGAGATAATTTACCCTCTACTTGACAGTGACCACCCACTAAGTAATGAAGACAGAAAAATCAGAAGGAGAGGGCCAATAAAGAGGACGAGGTTATCACTTGGATGAGGAAACATGGCCTTTCTTTTACACTGAGACCCAGTTTCTCTTTAAGGAGCTAGCCTGCGAAACAAATGAAAAGGGGCAGCCTGGCCACATAGACTGTGTTTGGTGGAGAGTAAGCTCTACCTAACAGGAGCTAAATTTAAACGATTAGCTGTCATAGTATTAGATGCAAAAATGGTATTCCTATTAAAGGATCCTGTAAAATTAGTGCAGAAGGTAGGAATGACCCACATATGAAGCTCTGGTCTTGGTCCACAGATGCCTTGATGATGTAGACTTTTATGACTTGGGCAAGTATTCAGCCTACATGAGACCTCATAACAGCCTGGGCAGAGTGTCAACGGAAGATTTTAGCTGAGGCCAAAAATCCTCTCCATCAATTGGGGATATTAGAACGGGCTTATCAGTCAACAGACCGCATGTAATATGATGACTTGGCAAGTCTGGCTGAGTCTGAAATAGGTCGAGTCTATCCAGCTGTTTCTTGGATTGGGGAGTGGTCCTGAAAAACATAAGTTGTTGTTAGTGGCAATGATGGCTAATACTAAAATAATTCGAGAGGCCATACATACCCGGATTTAAAAGAAGCTCACAGAGCCACATCTCAGGATAACCCGCAAAAATTAAATAGCCCAGGGACTGGAACTCATGGCCAAATCTCATGCCTGGATTACTTACTGGCTGAAGAAGCAGGTGTACCTGCTAACACATCTTTCTGTAGGTAACACTCACTAAGTTTTACAGATAGCCAGGAACAGGTACCAAAGGGGTCATAATGATACTCTACTCACTAAAAGATTAAATAAATCAAAGTCTTTTCCTCTTCTAATCTATTCTCCAGACTTTCTTCCACTAAATGGGCAGACTACCCGAAAACAGAATTTGAAACTGTAGCATGTGACCTTATAGGGTCATTAGAATGCTTTACCACTCACTGGATCCAAACTCAGGCTTTATGAAGTAATACACAACTAGGATTGTAAAACAACATGGGGCAAAGGGATGGGTTGCTATATACATGAGCCAAAAATAGCCCTGTGTTGTTTATTTCTTCACACCAAGCTGGGACCACTGAGCTCAAAAACCTGTCAGAACTAAATCCAAATTTTTGTATATCCAGTTGCTTTAAATATATCCCAAATGAGCATATTTTTAGCTATTTGTGAACCTACCTTTGCATATTCCATAAAACAGCACCCAATATCTGCTAGCCATAGATTACACAAACCCTAGGATTTAAAAATACCTCAAGCTGCAGAATTCTCTGGCCTAGAGACTCGCCATCATGCTGGACACTAAATTCCCTTTCCAATTTCTTTCCCCTGAGAGATCTCTTGACCTCTTGCCCCTGTGTGTAGTCCACCCCACCCCCATTGTCTCTGGAAGATCTCTTTCAGAGGGGGAATTTACCTCCTCAGGCCAAATTATCAAAGTACCCACTGTCCCCCAAACAGAGCTCCTGTGTGTTACTACTGCTTGGTGGTCCTATCTTTCCCGTTGATCAGCCTGCAAATTCCTGAATTCACTTCAGGAAAGAAAGGTCTGGGGAAGTAGACAGGGCTTTTTACTGCCTCATCCCTACCCCAAAGCCTGTCTGCTAAGACCCAAATGTGGAAGAGATTCCCAAAATAAATAGTGAGATGGATAGATTATGGGGACATCTTGGGAATGACCAAGTTTCCATCCACTTTAAGTAAATGGTGAGAGAGAAAATGAAGCTGCGTTTTATTACATACCATGAATTGGGCTTAAGTTCAGTGGCTAGGTTATATTCACAGTATCTCCTGAGTTTGACCACATTCTACTACTTCCTCTGCTGCCTCTCCAGATTAAAGCACTGTGATATTTTCTCTGGACAATTACAACAGTCTTCCTGATATTCCTATGAAAGGATCCTGTAAAATTTGTGTCCTTGCAACTCAGATACCCTACTCCCATGATGTCTGATGTCTATTCTCTAAGTGACAGTTTTTAAAAATATAAGTCAAATTATTTCACTTGACTGCCAAATCCCCCCAAAGGTTTCTCATTATACTTGCTAAAAGTTTCAAAGTCTTTACCATTTGTTCTCCCACTTTATCTCCCATCACTTTCTCCTTTGTTCTATCTTCTGGTATTAACGTTCATCCTTGGTTCTCTTAAACATATCTGTCATGTTCTTGCCTTAGGCATTTGCATAGGCTGTTCTCTTTGCCAGGAATGCTCTTTCCTACTTATTTCTGTGGCCTTCCCCAGGACGACCTTACCGAGAATAACCTTCCTCCTGTCCATTCCTTACCCTGTTTGCTTTGTCTTCATAGCATTTTAGACATCTGGTGTACCTTTGTTTCTTTCCTATCATCTCCTACTGGAATATAAGCACTGGAAGGTTGGGAACAGCCTCTTGGTTTTATTCACTATCTCTCGAAAGCCTGATACTTGGCAGGGCCTCTGAACATATCTTTGGACTTAATGGGCCAGTGCTTAAAATCAATATTTAGCAAAAGGCAAATATTACTTTCAGGGAAGAAACTTCATGATATGGGAATTAGAATACCAACAAATTAACCATTATTACAATTTTTAATTTGTAATTGAATAGTCAAATTTTATAAGTTTGGCATAGAAATGGAAGAATGTTAATTTCCCAGTACCTTAATCTACAAGCTTGCTTCTGTCACTGTACTGAATGTTTGCCTTACTAAATACATGCTTACTTTCAACTGAAACTGGTGAATGACCAAGATCATTTTTTACTCCTGCTGCTGACAGTGTCCAACTTGTAGCGATGCTATCACCTAATTATTACATTTTTCACCCATCTCCTGACATAACCCCTGAACTTGATTTGTATTATATAATGCAATTTCTTTGAAGCAATCTTATAAACTAAAGTTTGATATAGTATTTGAAAAAAGGATGTTTTCTGAGTATTTTCAGATTTCAGGCTTAGAATTACTGCCTTCACTTATATATTTTATTTCTAAGATTGTTTTGCATTCACTTGCTGTTTTACATAATCACTGCGGGGAAAATGCCCTTAAACTACAGACACAGAAATGCAGAAATGAAAGCAATGTAATTAGTTTTCAAGATAACAAAAATTGCCTTTGATTTATTGTCTGTAACTCCAATGTAGTTTCCATTTAATGAATATTAATTTTAGCATTTTACCTGAGTGGAATAATAGAAGGATGTTTGCAGCAGATAAAATATAAGAAATTGATAAAGTTTTGAAATTCTTCTGTTTGGTTACTTCTTCAGCAGTGCCCATCACACTCACTTCATTTTCTGTAAGAAACTATTGATGAAATAGGTCACGCTGGTTGGTTGTGGGTTGTCTGTAAATAAATTATTAAATATTTATTTTATTCAAGAAGTCTTTTTGACCTGTAATTGCAATTTTACCACATTTGAATATCTTGCATAGGTATTTGATAAGGCAGTACTCAAATCTCTTATATATTATGTAGTTTGTCTTCAGCTAGAAAAAAATGCAAAATTCCCAGTACATTCCTGATAAGGCAATGGATTTTTTTTTTTTTAACATTATCTTGTACTACAATTTCTTTCTGAATATACAATTAATTGGTGTTAACAAAACAATGTATGCTTTTGGCTTCTTAATTACTTAAAGCTTAGACCACATCTGTGCCATTTTCAACATCGGTTGCATAACATTGTTTTATTTTCCATTTTATATGAATTTCTTCAATGAAATTCACTGTGTTAGTTTATGTGGGACACAGAATTCTCTGAGCAAGCAAGCAAAGCAGACATATAGTGGAAATCATTCTTACTCCACTGAGCTGTCAAACCTTCAATATTTTCTTCTAGAGTCAGAACTATAAGACAAATATTATTAAAATACTTTTGTAATAGTTTTGAAATTTACTTAGTGAAAAATAATGGTGCTTGGGATACCTTTATTTGTTTCTAATTTTTCCTTCTTCAGACTATTTATTTATAGTGTTTATTGCTTTGAATCAAAGTAATTTAGTGTGAATGTTTTGTACACGATTTTGGAAATTTTTCTTTTCCTGGAAATGTGGCTTTTAATCCATCCTTATAGATATGAAAATTCATGAGTAGGATGCTTTTAAATAAGCTTTGCAGTATAGGTGGAATTATCTAAAAATTAGTAAGGATTGCTTCATATACTATTAGGAATGCGAGGATAGAATTACTCTATAAATTACTAGAATTATAAAGATTTTTTCCTTTTTACAATTTCTATTATATAGATTTTTAAATATTGTTGTTTTATATTAGGACTATGTTTTCCATACAGTTAGATAGTGCTGCATAATCTGTCTAGTATTCTCAAATTAACTATAAATATATTACTCTATTCAACTACTTGAAAGTTTTTAATATTTGTTTTTATATATAAAGTTAACAGCTTTCAGTCATTAATTATAGAAGCATTTTTCTTGCAATAATACATAGATATATTTATATTTCATTCAACTGATAGAATCTTAAAATATAGCATATAAAAGGGTTTCATTCCAAGTTATAGCTAGAATATTTACCTTCATTTGATTATGAATATTTAGATATTAATAAATTTCAATGGTATGCCTATTCATATTACTGAAGCTGTTATATTGATTAGATATAATTATATCAATGGATTATGGATTATGTACAAATTTGTAGATACCAGTAATAACTCTGGAGTAGAGTTTGAGCCTCCCGAAGAAGCCACACAGCAGCTTTTGACAGGATTCCACCACTGAAGGTGGACTCCGGTACACCAACAACCAAGTGTTGAACTAAGAATAAAAGAACGGGCACACCCTTCTCTTACCTAGAATTCACACAAGGAGAAAGATGATGTGACATTATCTCAGCATACACACTGGGAACGAATTTGTTTGGAAAAAGCATCTGTTCATTCTGCAAAGCTTTACATGCATCTTCTCCATGTCAAGCACATTCTGTTAGGCAATGGGCATACAGCCCTACAGAAAAGAAACTAAGACCCCATTCTAGTGGAGTAGACAGACAATATACAGATAACCAATCAGTGTTTTCCCAGTCAGTTTCTATGAAGACAAATAATACAGTTCAAGGAAACAAAGTGACTGCAGCTTCGATATTAGACAGGGGTTAGGGAAGTTCTCTGAGATTTTCTGATAGTTGACTAAAGATCTAAATAAAGTGAGGACATGAATTTGTGAATATCTGGAGGAAGAGTTTTCTAAGCAGAGAACAGCATGCACAGAAGCCTATGGTGTGAACATGCTTAGTGTATTTAAATAACTGAAAGGAAGCATATTTGAATAACTGAAAATGGTTGCAGTATATTACAATTTTCAGTTACAAGGCCTTTTACAATGTGTCAAGTCCCAGAAACTCATTTTTAACAACAACAAGAACAACAAAACAAAATGCTTAAATAAAAACTATTTTTAAGAAGCAGTAGTGTATAGCTGTATAGCAGCAGTTTTCATAGTTTATGGCTATAAAGTTAAGTCTGTCGGGGTGCCATAGAGGCAAGGAGCTGTGTTTTGACCTCAAACCAACTGTGCTGATGGAAGGACTGATGAGTGACACTTTGAAGTAAAAATTGGAGGTGTGGTGTGAGATGATGGCATTTAAAGATTAATTATAATAGGGCCAAATTGTACCTAAGTGTTAGTTTCTTTGTCCCAATCTGTTGCTTACTTTGTTGTAGCTCTTATATTTTAATAAAATTACATATATTCATTAAGCTAATATATGGCAATGTTTTATATGTTTAATCACCTAATGTTCAAGTGTGGCATTTAGGGCCTTCTGAGCAAATTACCTACTACTTACTTGTATCACATGTTCAAGTGCAAGATCAAATAAAATGAATATAGTTAAAAATAAAAAGCAGAAAGGCCACTCTGTAAATCTATCAGTCTAAAATAGTAATGCTACTGTCACCAAGAATATCTCAAACATCTGATCTTTTTACGAGTTATTTCCCTTAGTAAAACAATTACTCTTGCTATATTCTTAACCCAGATTAGAGTAACTGGTATTATAAGATCCTCATTCTTCTGTCTTTTCTGCCTTTGTCTGGTTTACAACATGGATGTACCAAACTGTTTGCAAGGAAAAGAAGGGTTAAAAGACTTCTGGTTTCTGGGCTATCAGAGAAGGAGCTTAGAAGCTGCCACTCTATCCCAACAATAAGTAAAAAGCTGAAAAAGTAGTAACTCTTCTGATATTCATCAGAGCACTGAAGTCACAGGGTAAACTTGCTGCCCTCAGAAATGGAGAGACAGATAAGCATACCCAGAGAATCACAGCTTACTGGAGCTGACACACACCTGCAGGACCCACCCCAGAACCAATGCTGGCATGGGAGTATCTGAACTGTAGTTGAAATTGCTGGAGGTGCAGTATGGAGAAGTTTTTCCTGAAAACTTCCAGGGAGATCCTATTGTAGGGGGTCCCACACTTTTATGAGTTTTTGTTCCGGGAGCTCTGCTAGCTTCTCACAGTGCAGATTGTTGAAAATTCCCTAAGGCTGTTCCAGCAGAGGTCTAGGGGAAGAAGCCATTCCTGAAATGCAGCAGAGCACTCTGCTCTCTGTCACTAGGCCTGCCTTCAAGAAAAACTAACCCATTGGGGCTTTATTAGAGCATAACTTACCTGGGGAAGGAAAATGCCTAACTTCTCTATCCTTCCTGGACCACCTAAGAAGGTGGGGGTGGGGGGGTGGAAATCCCAAACAAACTGAAAAGCATTAGTGAAGTTTCTGGTCCAAGGCACAGGCTTCCTAAAAGACTGAGACTTAATCATAGGAGTATAAAATGCTCCCCCTCCCCTACATAATACATCACATTACTAAAGGCTTATTTATCACAGTTCTGTTTAGCTAGTGCATCATGTCTTCTATCAAAAAGAAATTACAAGGCACACCAAAATGAAAAAAAAAAAAACAAAAAACAGAGCAAACATCAGAACCAGATACGGCAAGGATGTTGGAACCATGGTTAGTGGGTGCAGCACACCAGCATGGCACATGTATACATAGGTAACTAACCTGCACAATGTGCACATGTATCCTAAAACTTTAAAGTATAATAATAATAAAAAAAAGTAAAAAAAAAAACCAACAAGGATTAATATGCTAAGGTCTCTAATGAAAAAAGTAGACAACATGTAAGAAGAGATGGGTAATGTAAGCAGAGAGACAGATATTCTAAGAAAGAGTCAAAAAGAAATGTTAAGAATCAAAACATTATAACAGAATGAAAAATGCCTTTGATGAACTCACTAGTAGATTGGACATAGCTGAGGAAAGAAACTCTTAGCTTGAGGATATGTCAATAAAAACCTTCAAAATTGAAAAGCAAAGAGAAAACCAGGACAAAAAAGGAACAGAATTCCAAGAACAGTGGAATAACTACGAAATACTCAAAATGGAATACCAGGGGAGAATAAAGAGGAAAAGAAACAGAAGCACTATTTGAAGCAATAATGACGGAGAATTTCCACAAATTAATGTCATACAACAAACCACGGACCTGGGAAGTTCAGAAAACACCAACCAGGATAAATACCAAAACTTTGCACAGAGGCACATTTGCAGGCATGCTGTATTTGAAAGTAGACTTGGATTATCTAGTGAAATGTAACCACTCAAGCAACCCCTGAAAGAAATTATAAAACATAGTATAATATGCTAAGGAAAGAGAAAAAATAAAATCATATAGAATAATGTAGATCTTACTATATTGATAATCACTTTGAATGTCAATAGTCTAAAAGCACCAATTTAAAGATGAATATTGTCAGAGTGGGTTAGAAGAAAAAAGACCCGATTATATGTTGTTCATAAGAAATCCATTTAAAATAAGACACATGTAGATCAAAAATAAAAGGATGGAGAAGGTTATAGCATGCTAATTTAAAAAATGTAGCTATATAAATTTCAAAGAAAATGGACTTCAGAGCAAGGACTGTTATCAGGAATAGGGAAAGGCATTACAAAACAATATTGCAGTCAATTCTCCAGGAAGACATACCCATTTTTGCTGCTTATGTGCCTAATGACAGAACATCAAAATATGTGAGGTAAAAATTAATAGAACTGTGAGGAGAAATAGATTAATTCATGATTATGATTGGAGACTCAACACACCTTTATTCAAAATGTACAAATCCAGCAAGCAGAAAATCAGAACATAGCTGAATTCAATGACTCCATCAACCAACTGGATATATTTGACATCTGCTGAATATAATTGACATTAACTGTATATAATTCACAAACGACTTTTTTCAACAACAACAACAAAAACAGAATCAGTCTTCTAAAGCTCACATAAAACTTTTACCAAGATAAACATTTGGGACCATAAAACACATGTTAACAAATTTAAAAGAGTAGAAATTATACAGTGTATGCTAAGACCACAATAGAATTATACAAGAAATAACTAACAGAAAGATAGCTAAAATAAATCCCCAAATACTAAGAGATTAAACACATATCTAAACAACACATGGATCAGAAAAGAAATCTCAAGAGAGTTTTGAAAAGATTTTGAGCTAAATGAAAATGAAAATATAACGTATCAAAGGGGATATAGCAAAAGTAGTTTGTACAGAAAAATTTGTAGAATGGAATGCATATATTAGAAAATAAGAAATAGCTAAAATCAATAAGCTTCCATTTTAGAAAACTTGAAAAAGAAGAGCAGCTTAAATCCAAAGTAAGCAGAAGAAAATAAATAATAACAATCAGAGCAGAAATAAATGAAATGGAACACAGGAAATCAGTAGAGAAATTAATGTAATCAAAAGCCAGCTCTTTGAAAAGATCAGTAAGATTGATAAGCCTTTATCTGCCTAAGAAAAAAGAGAGGATAAAAATTAAGGTTAGAAATGAAAGAGGGGAAATCACTACAGGTCCCATGGACATTAAAAGAATGATTAAGGAACACTGTGAACAACTCTATGCCCAAACATTTGATAATCAGATGAAATAAACCAACTCTTTGGAAGACAATCTTCCAAAAGATCATATTATTTCTCACATAAGAAAAATTTACCATCTGTGTCTATCAAAGAAGTTGAATAACTAGTAACTTTCCAAACATAAAGTACTAGGTCCAAGTGTTTTCACCAGTGAATTCTACCAAACATTTATGATAGACTCTAGATCAATTTTTTACAATCTCTTCCAAAAGATAGAAGCAGAGGGAATACATCCTAACTTATTCTATGAAGCCAGCATTACCCTAATCCCAAAACTAGACAAAGGCATTTCAAGAAAAGAAAATGGCAGTTCGATATGTGTCATGAAGATAAAGGCAAAAATCATCAACAAAATATTAGTAAATTTAACAATGTATAAAAAGAGATACATACCATTACTAAATGAGATTTATCTCATGTACGTGACTAGATCAACACTTGAAAATCGATGTAATCCACGACATCAACAGGCTGAAGAAAAAAATCACATGATCATATCAATATGTACAGAAAAAAACTTCTGACAAGATTCAACACTCATTCATGATGAAAGCTCCCTACGAACTAGGAGTAAAGGGGAACTTCTTCAATTTGATCTGTAAAGAACATCTCCAACAAACGGCTAACATCATATTTAATGATGAAAAATCTGAAGCTTTTTCACTAATATCAGGAATAAAGCAAGTATGTCTCCTCTTTTTTTTTTTTTTTTTTTCCGAGATGGAGTCTTGCTCTGTCACCCAGGCTGGAGTGCAGTGGTGCAACCTTGGCTCACTGCAATCTCCACCTCCTGGGTTCAAGCAATTCTCCTGCCTCAGCCTCCCAAGTAGCTTGGACTACAGGTGCATGCCACCATGCCTGGCTAATTTTTGTATTTTTATTAGAGATGGGGTTTCACCATATTGGCCAGGCCTGTCTCGAACTCCTGACCACGTGATCTGCCTGGCTCAGCCTACCAAAATGCTGGGATTAAAGGCGTGAGCTACCATGCCTGGCCTATGTCCCCTCTTAACACTGCTTTTCAATATTATACTGGCAGTCCTAGCACATGAAATAAGACAAGGAAAGGAAATAAAAAATATACAGACTGGGAAGGAAGAAATAAAACTTTCTTTGCTGTTGACTTGATTGCAGAATGCAAAGTTAATATACAAAAGTCAGTTCCTTTCCTATATACTGTCAGCAAATGATTTGAATTTTAAGTTAAAAACACATTACCATTTACATTAGCACTCCCAAAGATAAATACTTAGGTATAGATCTAGCACAATAAAAGTATGTATACAATTTACATGAGGAAAACTACAAAATTCTGATGAAAGAAATTTTAAAAGAACTACATACATAGAGATTCCATGTTAATAGATAGATATTCCATGCTGTATTGTAAAGATCTCAGTTCTTTCCAACTTGATCCATAGATTCAGTGCAATCCAACTCAATATCCCAGCAAGTTATTTTAAAACTAGCTTTAAAGTTTATACAAAGAGTCAAAAACTTCAACTCATATTAAAGGCGAACAAAGTTGGAGGACTGATACTACACAACTCTAAGACTATAAAGTTATAATAATACGCTTTGCAGGATTGGTTAAAAAAAACTGGCAGAAAACATTTAGAAAAGACACATCTGGTAAAGGACTACTATCCAAAATATGTAAACAACTCTTAAAATGCAACAGTAAGAAAACACATGACCTGATTAAAAATGGGCAAAAGAGCTGAACATATACTTCAGTAAAGAATATATACAGGTGGCAAGTAAGCATGTGCAAACATGTTCAACATCACATGTCCTTAAGGAATTACAAATCCAAGTAAAACAACAACGAAATGCCGCTACACAACTATTAAAAGGGCCAAAATGCAAAACAGGATGTGGAGCAACAGGAACTCATTCCTTGTGGCAGAAATAAATACAAAATGGTTAGCCACTTTGGAAGACAGTTTGATAGTTTCTTAGAAAACTGAACATAATCTTACCATGTGATCTGGCAATTGCCCTCCTTGATATTTGCCTTAATGAATTGGAAAGTTATGTTCATATAAAAACTTGCGCACAGATGTGTATAGCAGCTATATTCATAATCAGCCCAATTTGGATGCGATCAAGATATACTTCAGTGGATAGGTGGATAAACTGTCGTACATCCCAATATGGAATGTTATTCAATGCTAAAAAGATATGAGCTATCAAGCCATTAGATGGCATGGTGAAAAGTTAAGTATATATTACTAAGCAAAAGAAGCCAAATTGAAAAGTCTATATACTGTATGATTCCACCAACATGACATTCTGGAAAAGTCAAAAGGCATCATCTATGGAGATGATAAAAAAGGATCAGTGGTTTCCAGGGGTCACAGGGAGGGATGGCTGAAGAGGCAGAACATGGAGAACTTTTAGGGCAGTGAAACTAGGCTGTAAGATACTGCAATGGTGGATTCATGTCATCCCACAGTTATGAAAATTCATAGAATATACAACAAGAGTGAATCCTAATGTAAACTATGGACTTTGGATGATAATAATGTGTCAGTGTAAGTTCATCTATTATGACAAATGTACCCCTCTGGTGGGGGATGTCAATAGTGAGTGAGTGAGATTGTGCGTGAATGGGTACAGGGGCCATGTATAGGAGAACTCCCTGTACTTTCAGCTCAATTTTGCTATAAACCTAAAATTGCTCCAAAAATCGTCTATAAAAAAATTGTACAGTACAAAAAGTACTTTTCAAAAACAAGTTTTGGGAGTTTTGTTGTTATTAACTGCATTTTATTGCCAGCTGCTGAAAATAGCAGTGCGGAGAGTGGGGGAGCCATTGAGTTTTTGGTGAAGGCTTTCTGGCTTTCTTTTTACTTTTCCTCCCCTTTCCCAGCCTACTTCTTTTGGACCTGGTCTTTTTTTTTTTTTTTTTTTTTTTTTTTTTTTTTTTTTAACTGGTGGACTATAGAATGCAGTGCTTTATAGTGGTGTCAGTGTCAGACTGACTACATTCAAACCCCGGCTCTGTCCCTTACTTATTGTATAACTTTAGGAAATTTACTGACCTACTCTAACCCTCATTCTTCTCAGATATACAATTTCAGGGAAAAATATGCACTTCTTTATTTACTGAGGAGCACTCAGCTAATTTTCAGTTCATAGCAGCTACTGTTAATATGGATGTTGCCACTGATGAGTAAAACGGGATTGCCCTGGAGAAATAGGTTCATTGTACAGACATGTCTACTGAAACCCCTGATGAATGTCCATTGCTCAGTTGTAAATACGACAATTATCCTAAAGAGGAAATTCTACCTTTTAGTTTAGACCCACTTTTCTATCCTTAAAGATTTATTTATTGCACAAAATTTAGACTTCTTTTGGGGCCCCAAAGGATGAACTAAGAAGAATGTTTTTATTTCACAATAAGCAGGAGCTTTGTGAGAATAACAATAATTAGTTCTTACTAGCTTTAGAGCCTCAAGAAGCTTCCTGCAGTTTTCTGAACCTCATCTTCTTCTTTAATACAGTCAGAAAGATGAGACCAGTCTTAGAACGTAGTTGCGAAGATTAAGATTTACAGTGTCAAGTACTAACTGAAAATGTTAGTGCCCTTTGCAAATCCTTGTGATTATCTTCCCTTTGGCGTATCTGCAAGGAACATATCTCAATTTCCCACCTATCCTAAACATCTATAGTTGTCAACGTATAATATATTCAGTGCAGAAAGGTCCTATTTTCACCGTCTGCTTTAACAGGGCACCTATTCTAGTGAAGCTAAGGCAAATATAAAGATAGATGCACATACTTCAGGATAGAACTTCGCTGAAAATTTAAAAACATTCCACCATCATCCTACACTATACTCCCATTCCTATCTTTCAGTGGTGGTGGTGGTGGTGGTGTGCGTGTGTGTGATAAGAGAGTGGAAAGAGAGATTTAGACAAATACAAACTTCCCCTATCAAGGAAGGGGGCAGCATTAAGTACTTCACGCAAGCATGCAGGAAGATGAATGGCAGAGCAGTCAATGAATGGAGGCCCCAGACAGAAAGCAGAATTCCTGTACCTGCTTCCTAAGTCTGCCCCAGAATGAGGGCGTTCTCCCCTGTCTGGGATCAGCATGCATAGTTGAAGAGCCATTAAAGAGTAAATAAGCTTTGCAGTCAACAAATCTGGGTTGGAATTATGACACTGTCACTTACCAGCTATGTGGCCATAGCAGTTTCACATATGTGAACCTGAATTTCTTCATCTGTGAAAATAGGAACTATACCTGCTTCACGGTGTCAATGAGAGGAGTAAGTGAGATAAAGCATGTGCATAGAAAAGATAAATGTTTGTTTGTTGATAGAACTCAGCAAGCTCTATGTAAGCTTTTTAGAATATACACTATCCAAATGGGAGAAAATTTTTTAAATTCCTCACTGGATGCTGCTACAATGGAAAATCCAACTTTCAGACCAGCACCAATTAAGACCTGATTAGTTCACTTAGTATGAATAGTTGATTGCAGAATAGCAACAATTTTATGTTCATAATTTCCATGTCAAAAAGAATGTTTGTAAGTGAAAACTGGTATGCGTTTCTAAGCAGATTGTTAATAAGAAAGTGAATATTAGAAAAATCCATTCACCTCTCTGTGTCCAGAAAATATTAGATATGGCCATTTAGCCCTATGTGCTAGCTTCAACAGGGGTGTTTTGTGAAAGCATGTGATTATCTTCTTGATAGCTATTCTGTAAATTTAGAGAGTTCCTTGCCCCCAATTTTATGTCCTTTAATTAGTACATATGGTGCTATAATTGATTTATTTATCACACCCCTTAAAATCTTTTCTGGCTGGGTGTGGTGGTTCACAACTGTAATCCCGGCACTTTAGGAGGCTGAGGCAGGAGGATGACTTGAAGCCAGGAGATGGAGACCAGCCTGAGGAACAAAGCAAGACACCATCTCTACAAAACTTTAAAAAATGATCTGGCCATGGCAGAGTGTGCCTGTAGTCCCAGCTGTTTGGGAGGCTGAGACAAGAGAATTACTTAGCCTAGGAGTTCAAGGCTGCGGGGAGTCATGATCACGTCACTGCACTCTGGCCTGGGCAACCGAGTGAGCCCCTGTCTCATTAAAAACAAACCAAAAAACAACTCCCCATTAAAGCTAACCTTCTTCTCTGAAGAGAAGCAAAATAGTACAGGGTCACTTGGCCCACTGTGGCACATGTATCATGGCTTCTCCCTTCTGGGCCTACAGCAGACATCACTGATCAATAAAGAAACTCTTATTCTCAGAATTTTTCACAACCCAGTGTTTCAAGCAGCTACCACCAATCTATATGTTTGGCAAGTAAAATGAAACTTGCGTGTTACCCTGTTTATAGTGAAAGGAAGAGTACCTGGAAAGTTAATAGGATTTCTTTACTCTCAACTTCTTGAGAAATCTTAGCCATGTTGCACAACCCATCCAAGACTGACTTTTCATGTCTATAAAGCAAGAGAATTACGGTGGCTCTGTGGCAGGTCAACTTGGGTGGGCTAAATTATTAGGTTGGTGCAAAAGTAATTGTGTTTTTCCATTAAATTAATGGCAAAAGCCACAATTACTTTTGCACCAACATATAGATTTCCCAGCATTTTCTTTCCTATATGTTTCCAGCTAGCATTGACCGGAAGAGAGATTCTTGTGGGAGATCTGGAGGACGGACGCGAAGCAGCCATTTCATAGATGGCAGGCATTGCTTCTGATCTGCTGACTCACCTCACAGGCATGAGGCAGCAGACAGGCTCGCAATGGCTCCGCTTTGCCACAATCCTCTCCATTTGTTCAAAGCCTAGGCCAAGTGTGTGTGTGTTTAGTCCTGTGACAAAGGACCCCAGCTTCTGCAGGATATCCTCATCATCAAGTTCAGTGGCAACAAGAACTGATGTGGGTTTCACACTGTCTTTCCGATTGTGCATGAGTGTTCCCACTTGATCTTGCTGTCACTCATCTCATATACAACTTTCCTTCCCAACTACCTGTTCTGTGATCTTCAGACTCCCACATTAGACACAAACACAACAACCTTATGGAGATGTCTAATCCAGACCCACAATGGCATAAGGTCAAGTCCCTGCAACAAATCTATCTATATCCTAGTGATTCTGATTCCGTGATTGAGCCTTGACTAACATAAGAATTCAAATCACATGGATAGTTTCCAAAATTTATTCCATTTCCTGATCCCCCTTACGTAGGGGGAGGACAAAATTAGCAGAGTGGGGTCCCAGGCTTTGTAGTCAAGGTTAACCCAGGTTCAAATCTTAGCTCTGACATTTGTTGTTCATGTGTCTTTAGAGAAGTTTTAAACCTCTTTAAGCCTGAGATTTCTTGTCTATAATAGAGAAGTAATAATATTTACCTCTATCATAACATCATTATGAAGATTAATAAAAATCATCTTTATAAAACACTTAGAATAGTGCCTGGCACTCAACAAATGGTAGCTTTATAAAACTATATGTATAGGTCTAGTCTCACAATACTTTGAACTGACAGAGGCGGCTAAAATAATAAACCTAAAATTACTTTGATTACCTTAGCTGAGAATAAGCAATGTAGGAAAAGAAAAAAAAAAACCAAAAAAATTTTATTGACAAAAAGACCATATTGCTTATATTTCCACTTTATTTTCTTTAAGCCATAATTTGATATTTGATTTATAATGTTATTTACAACAAATTAGCTGCTTTGCATTTTGAAGCAAAATGCTTACCTCTTGATTACTTGTTCTTTTTTATGGGGTCCTAAGTCCTAAGTCCTAAATCTGTGTATGTGTGTCATACAGTAGAAAGTGTATACAGAGGACTTCAAAGTCCTGGATTCAAGCTTGACTTCACTGAGTTTGTAAGTGACTTGAACAAATAATGTAGCATTACTGAAACATGCTTCCTTATCTGTGAAATGAGGCTAATATCTTCTATGACTACCTGTCTTGAAGGGTTTCAATGAGGGTTAAATATGAAAGACCTTTGGTAACTTCAAATGATAAACAAATATATAGGATATTGTGATTCTTGGATGTGTTCTCGTTCAAGTCCAATTTGAACTGTTCTCCTGGCTCTGTTTAGCCAAACAGGAGCACTATTTATTTTCCACTTTTAAGAGATGATGTGGGAAGCATAGAGTTTAAAGGGAACCAAGTCTTGCTCCTATTCCGAAAAATGATAGAGTAACATTACATATCGTGTCTATTAATTGTTTAACCAACTGGAAAATGTGGGGAGAAAAATAGAACGTTCAAGTTTTCCCATTATACTTATTTCAGATTGTAGGTGTTTATTTTGAATAAATGAATAGCTGAATGCTAGCACGAGGAAAACAAAGTTAGCACACTTTTTTTTAATGCTTAGAATGGTCAAAATGCTTGACGAGGTGTAGTAAGAACTCCAAAGATGATTTGATAAAATCTCTGTCTTCAAAGAGCAAGGGACATAACAGAATAGATCACACCCCAGGTACAAGTACATATAATTAATTCACAATAGAAAATGAAATGTCAGCATTCACAGAAAACCCATTTAAACAATCTATCTTTTTCTCACAAAGGCAGTTTTACATGACTTCATACTGTTACTATGCATTTACTAAAATTGAATTAGCATGTGTAACTGAAGTCTAAGCTAGACAGTTAGACCAAGGCCTGATATCTTGATCAAAAAGAATAAAAATAGAAAGTGAAAGAAAAGATGGCTCCATTGCATGTGTCTCTTAGTGAGGCTGTACAGAAGGCTGGGAAAATATCTTAAATTTAAACAAATCTATTTCTTGATCCTATTTGTGTAGAGAAGAATACTATGTTTGATAAATGTAGGCCATTTAGACAATTACACTGGCTAATGAGAGGAAAGATTTTCCTAGTGTGGTCAGCAATATTTAGGAGAGGAAGTCTAACCTTGGGACTGGGCAATAGACCTTAGTGGAAAAAAGTATTTAATTTCTCATATTGATAGTTCCAACATAGTAGATATGACTTCCAGCTATTAGAGGCATAGCTGGTCTGCCTCTACTCAACCCAGAGGGCATATGGGTCTCCAATTTACTGTCTTGACACGGAGTCATCCATCCCGGATCTCTCCAACAACCCCCTCACAAACCCTAAAATACTTTCACATAAACTAAGATTCACTTTATCTCTTTTAATCAAAACTTCTGATTTGTTATTGCTGCTACATAGGGGCATTACTGATTTTAATTTCTTAGTTTTTTGAAATATTTTATTTCCCATGGTTTGTCAATTCTCATGAATTTAAAAAATTTTTTCAAGTTTGTGAAATATGGCATATATTCAAAAAGTGAAGAAAGCATAAATGTCCCATATAACAAGTAACAAAAATAAATACCTGTATCATCATCACCATGCAAGTGGAAAAAAATAGAAAAAAAATATTGTCACTATCTCAGCTCTTCATATATAATACTCTTGAATTTTCTATATAGAAAATTGTCTATTCATAGAAGAAAATGTATTTCTTCCTTTTCAATCATTTTATCATTCTTTCTTGCTTTGTTGAACTGCATAGGACGTAGATTATTACACTGACTAATAATTTAAGTTTGAGTCCATATTTAAGTGATGTGAAACCCATGTAGAAATTTTGATATATATTTTCCCAGGCACAACCTGGCTGGTGGCATCTCTCTTGTGGTGGTTAGAAAATCCCTTTCAGTATCATGGATTAGTAGTGACCTATTTCTCATTTACTTCAGTATCATTACTTTTCATTTATTAATTATGGTAATTTTCATTCTTTTATTCAGTAAATATTAACTTAGCAATGAATCAATGAACTCATTCATCACAAAGCTTTTGATATAGCTAGGGACACTAGAGCTTCACCAGAGTGCAAACCCTACTGTGAACTGTGCATGTGAGGGATCCAGGTTGCATGCTCTTTACGAGCTAGAGAGATAAAACATATACATATAACTTTAAAATTTTTACTTAATTTTTGACAATGGTATACTGTAATTACATAATAATATAGGCAATAAATTCTTTGAGTTTTCTGGTGAGGTGATATGTGGAGAGAGAGCTGGTTTACAGATGGACTGAAAATACTTTATCTTTATCCTTGGGGACTCCTGGATGTCTGGTTTTACTTTTGACTAAGATAATGGCAGTGGTGTTTATGATGTGCTACTTAAAATCCGAACTCCCCCAGTGACCCCCCCAAGGGTCAGTTTCTTTACTGAGGGTTTGCAACTGGCCTAACCGGTTTGATGACCTGGCATGACTACTTAGAGAGCTAGTGAGAGCTTTGGGGGAATTTCTCAGCAGGACTCCTTGCATGAAGTTGGTTCAAGCCAGAGGCTCAGCCCATCCCTAGTTTACAAAGGTAGGGCCCTGAGGAGTTTGTGCCTCCCGATGTCTCTCCAACCTCCCATGCATGTCTGTATTTCCTTTCTCCTGCTGCCTTGAAACTTTTGCCTTTAAATAAAACCGCAGATGAGTATACTCTATGGCAAGTACTTTTCAAAATACCCAAACTGGGGAACACTATACAGTGAGTGACCCAGACCGGACATTTGAAATGACCCTTCCCATTCTGTAATTTAGGTAACAGCTAAGGCATTGCTTAGGAGAAGGAAAGATGAGCTAAGGTTGGGGGGATGAAAGCATTGGTTTCTGCTGGCTTCTGACCGCCCACTCCTAGGCTGAGGTCACAAAAATATTCTGTCCACAGATGGGTAGAAAAGCATTTGTGGACCAGGGCCAGGGGAGGTAGCTAAATGGGTAACAAAAAAGGTTTACACTGAGGAGAAGTCAGCCAAGAATAGGTGTCTTGGCTGCTCCCATCTGTTCTAGCTAAAGTGACGATCCCAGAGAGGGAGAGTGAAGCTGCAAGAGCCTCGGTGTTAGGTCCTGTGTCTGCCTGGGAGGAATGGAGTGTCCACAGGGAACTAGTCAGATATTTGCTTTGATTGGAGTCTGGTCCATTATAAAAGAGTTAATCTACTTTTTAGGTTCATTTTGCAGCTCTTTTCACAATTGCTTTTGCAATGGAAATTGAGTTTGGGGGATCCTGGGTAACTTCATGTTGGATCTTACTCAGGATCCTAAATTGGCTTGCAGCTTTTACAGAATTATGGTCCCACTCTGTTAAGTTGCATAAAGGCAAGAAGACTATGTGATTCATGCCCTGAAAAGGAGAGTTGTCTCACTCCTCTCTTAGATATTAAGTGGAGTACCCTGAAGCTACTGAAATGCTAAGGATGCAGGTAACTTCATATTGGTTATGTGGTGATGCATAACTTAATGCTATGACTCAGGGTTTCCCAACCCCTGGGCCACGGAGCAGTCCATGGCCTGCTAGAACCCAGGCTGCACAGCAGGAGGTAAGCAGCGGGTGAGCCAGCATTACCGCTTGAGCCCCACCTCCTGTCAGATCAGCAGGGACACTAGAGCTTCACCAGAGTGCAAACCCTACTGTGAACTGCGCATGTGAGTGATCCAGGTTGCATGCTCTTTATGAGAATCTAATGCCTAATGATCTGAAGTGAAACAGTTCCCCCTAAACACACTCCACCCTCGCTGGTTCGTGGAAAAATTGCCTTCCATGCAGCCAGTTTCTGATGCCAAAAAGGTTGGGAACCTCTGCTACAACTGGCCTAGGTGAGGGTTGATGTTATAATAACAAGAGTTGCAACTTCATGGACTCCTTGGGTGCCTACATTGGTTGGGGGGACAAAAAGTTGTGAGGGAAATTGCAGCTGATCTCTTTACTCAGCTCCCTCAAATAGGGTTTTTAATGACAAGAAAAAGAGCAGGATTATTCAGAAGAAATGAAACAACAAGAATGCAAAAGTTGGAATAAACTTTGGGACAATTGAACCAGGTGGAAATATTTTATGGCAGATTAAAAAATGGCATGAAAAAGGAGGAGATAGATGGAGTAGTCACTACAATGTTAATGAATTGCTATAAAAGATTATAAAAGCTATAATACCAACTCAGATGATAAAATGAATGAGACCATTTCACTCAATGTATCCTAGAAAATTTATCCCAGTAAGTTCATCCTAGTAAATTTATCCTAGTAAAAATGTTATGGATTAAAAATTTGAGTATTACACGAAAGAAGAGTCTAAAATCTCTTCAGGGCCTATACCAATGTCAAAAGTGCAATGCAATGAGACAGCCCAGGTCTCCTGGAAAAACCCTCAGCCAGGGACCCCTAGCTATTTACATTGGTGTAGGTCAAATGGCTCATGCATAGCATAGAAACTTTATCAGGATTGCTGAACATTGGTACTTAAACCTGTGAATGAAGTGTTAAAGGGCGATGTAGTTAAATTAGAATGTTGTGGTGTTGCAATTAATGAAGGTGAGCAAGTGACTGTATGGCTTAAAGTGGAAATTTATGGGTGAAAATGTGCACGGTGTTGCCCTACACTGATCAAAGTATCACTGCAATGGACGTGATGTCTGAGGACATTTTCCTTATCAAAATCACTGGGCAAGGGATTTTGTGCAGTTTCCTTCTTCCCTTGTTTTTAGGCATGCTGCATCACAAATTGCTAGAATGAAATAACTTAAGTCGTAATTTAAAACAATAGCAGATACCCTGGCGGGTATAAAATTTGGCCTTAATTGCAGATCTGTTATATGTGGTAATATTAGTGCCCATGAATCCCTTTTGTCATAGTGCAGGATGGCCTATATTCTTATAGAAAAGAATATTCTACATTCTTATAGAAATTCTATATTCTTATAGAAAAGCTGATGGATCCAGGAGGTGAACTGTAGATGAAAGAGAACTGAATGAGATGATTTGGGAAGTTTCTGCTACTTGCAGCTATGCTGACTGGAGCTTCTGGTAAAGGCCTGTGACTGCCACCCAGCGGCAACAGCTAGGAATTTGAACTAGGAGCTGGCAGACTGGCAATGTGATTTGGAAAATGGGCCTTAGATGACCGGAAGATAAAAGGAACATCAGGTCTGGTGCTCTGTTATAGAAAAATCTGTGGACTTGAAGGGGGAATTAAAGTGGGACTCACATCTATGCCCATTAAAAAGCCCCCTTCTTATTTCTGAGGAGACTGGGACCAATAAGTAAATGTCCTCCAGTGCACTTTGGAAGTGGCCTTTTAGGTATGCAAATTGAGCTCTGAGCAGCCATGGAAGCATTTGAGCAAGGCAACAATTACAAGGGTTGGGACGTATCCAAATGTCTCCCTTAGCAGCTTGAACAGTGACTAAAAATTGCTCTATTTGTCAACAGGAACATCAGAGATGAGATACAGCCATGGGCCTCATACCAAGGTGATCTGGGCTTGTCTATAGCTGGCAAGTGGATTCCCAACTTTGTAGTAGACACAGTGGGTCTTCACTGGGATGGATATTCATTCTGGATTTGGGTTTGCACATCTGACAGCTGAAGCAAATTCCTTTAACACCATAGAGGCCTGGAGCAAATAGTATTATTTCAGTTTGGACTTCCTGCTTATATACTATTGAATCCAGGAATCAATTTTATTAGAGTGCCCTGCACTGTGGGCCAGACAGCGTCATATGCAAAGCAGTTGACTACCTACAAAGTATCGGACTGACTGAAAATGGGAATGGGAAATTGAAACACTGGCTTAGTAAATTGGAGGTGCTAAGAATTGAAGGGATGCTTACCATGATTGAATACATATGTGTTAAAATGTAGACTGTGTGGAAGTAAAGAGGGTTTGCCTTTGAATCAATTGTTGAGATATTGTGGGGAAGATAGGGAAGAAGGAATGGGGCATAGGAAGTTACATAAACTTGTTCTCTACTACTAGTTTCTTCTTCTCTGCCTGATCTTGTAATGCCAGCAGTTGAAATGCATTCAAGAGTTCCAGAATGAGGATCAATTGCTAACATGACACCATGACAATGTCCCTCAATGTCACTGTACAATTCCCTCAGGGAATAACAAGTTGTGTTTCTCTTGTCTGAACTGGATCGGTTTCTGCTTTCCTACCTAGTGGGTGAGCCAGTGCTATAAGCATATATATATCCAACCCTAGTCTATTGGAATGAAATGAATAAAGGGGAAGGCATTGGCAGGACTCATATTGCTGTCCCCTCTATAGGTAAGTCCTCTGCTGATCCTTATGTCTTTACTTCAGGGGTAGAAGGAGGATGTGGGTGAAAATCAAAGAAGGAGAAGTGCTTGCTAATCTAAAGAGAGCCAATAAATGGATAATGCTAAGAAGGAAAAGCTAGAACAGAAAATGATATTTACTCTCAGATATAGTTACAAATGCCCATGAGAGTGAATGTGTAAGTCTGCAGAAAACTCCTCCTTTGCTTGAATCTGAAGGTCCAGGATGAGCTTCAGGGAATTCAAGAAGCATTAACATATGTTCATGTATACGAAGCATCCCAATGACATTTTCAACACCCTGCGAAAGACAGCTTTTGGGAAGTACCATGCAGGAAAGAGCCATAGATCACTGTGTAACTGTTAAACTAAATGATGGCCTGTTGAGGAAGATGCCTAAACATGATGAACAAATTTGTTGCAGGTTCAATTTGTCATAGTATTACGTGGCCTAATGCATATAACCCATGTTTATGTGGATGGAGGGAAATCATCAATGTAAAGAATACTTTTCAAACAGATTTCAATGTCTGTTTAGGGGTGACTTGGTGGGCCCATACCTCCTACTGATAGCCCCAATGTCTGCCAAGGGAGTATATAGCAAATTCCGGCATACTCAGACTAAAGTGTTTTGGGGGATGACTACTAACTATATGACATCCTAAGGAATTCAGCATTTTTGTGTCCTAAATATGTACTCAACTTGTATGTACTCACTAAGACTCTATGGCAACAGCATATCCAATCAGTAAACCAACATTGTCCAAAATACTGTAAAAGAGCCCTGGATGAAACTGGTATAGTCCTAGGATTCCTGGGACAAGCTAAACTTACTTTTATTATATATAGAAAATATACTGAAGAAACAGACTTATTGGCCCATATTAGCCTATTAGATTGGATGTTATTTCAAGAGAAAGGGAAAAGGTAGCAAGAAGCCTGGGCAGATGACACAGCCTTGGAGAAATAGGTAAACAGGCTCAATAGATACTTAGGCAGCACCCTAGGGAACAAAGGTAGAAAAGAGCATTCACAGTAACCAAAGAGGAGCTGTGAAGTATGCTCCTCCAGATGGAAGCAGTTAGCTTAAGGGCAATGTTCTGGGATCCAGGGATGAGTTACAGGAGACTTATGGTCTCCTGAGTGCATGGAAATTTCTAAACGGAGAATACAATCTACATGCCTGCTCCTTAACTGTCAGAGTCCCGTGCATAAATAAAAACAGATGTACCCATTGGTGAAGTTAGTTAAAACTAATTAAACTTCAAGATTTTACCTGTGGGGGAAAGACAGACATTTCTTAAAAATAAACACCTTGGGAACCTGTATCCGTAAAACCTTATAGTATGAAACAGAGCATATAACTATGCCCACAAGGGACTTGGAATCCATAACTAACTGCAACTTGGCTCTTGATTTATACTTCAATCCATGACAACATTAGGTGTATGGACAAAATCACTTTTTGCTGGGAAAGCCAGGGAAATGTGACAGTAATTTTAACTGACTTGTTTTGTAGTGATCTTAATCTAATTCATAATGTAATTGGTAATTGGTGTAATGCTGGTATAATTATAAGGTTAATTTAATGGATTTTTACTAAACCTATAACACTGATATTGATGACCAAATATATTGTCAGATTGAATTAAAATCTTTACAAGATTTTCTTCCAATAGAAGCTGATTGGGCAAAGGAGGAACTAGATTTATTAACAATGAATTAATCGTTCCATTGGATCAATCCATTGATACCCTTTATAAAGTTTACATTTTAGTGGCAGAGGGTTGTCAAATTGTTGTCAAGCTTGTGCATGACTATGAAGAAGTTTGCACTGGAATCTTCTAGAATCTTTGGCAAACTGAAAGCTTTCTTTACAGTTATACCCACACTTTTTGTTGATACAAATAAATAGTATTCTAGCAGTTGTTCTTTCTTTTTTTCTGTAAATAATATGAAAGATAGAGGGAAAGGAACACCCATCAGCAATTTGTACTTGCAATGCTTTGACCAAGAGTTAGAAGGCTGTTGGAATAGAGCTGACTTACAACTGTACTGGAAATATTCTGTTTTTAATCTTTGGGGATATTTAGACATTGGAAGTTTTTTACTCTTAAGGTCAGTGGCATTTATGATGTACTGTTTAGGGACCGAAACATCCTTGCCATATTCCAAGTTTACCTTCTTAACTTATGGTTAGGCAACAGGACTAACTGGTCTGATAAGCCTGGTTTGACTAAAAGAGCTACTGAGATTTTTTTGGAGTGCTCCCCTGGAGCCAAGGTTTTTTACACAGATGACAGTTCAAATCATGGACACACTAGGACACTGCCCAGTCCTAATATGCAGATGGAGCCCTGGGGAGTTCAAGCTATGGGATATCTCTGGAGACTTCCAATACCTGCTTGCATTCTCTTTCTCATGTATCCTTTAAAAGCCTCAAGTGAGTACATATTGAGTGGTGATATTTCTTTTGAAATATTCAAACTAGATATGTATATGCACACTGGACATGATGTTTTGTTGGAAAAGGTAGGAGTCACCAAAGCAGTTTCTTATAAGACACAAAAGATTTGGGGCTGCTTATGTTTAGACAGCAGGTATTATTCACTCATCAGAACCAGTAATGCCCAGGACCAAATGGGTTTAGGATCAGCCCAATAGCCTGCAAATCAGGTCAGTAGGGGAAAAAAAAAAAAAAAAAAAAAAAAAGGAAAATAAAATATAACCTCAGGGGAGTCCTGAGGCCTCTAATGAACCTGGTTTTTCAAATACTCATTTATTTAGAGTCTTCTATTAGTTGCTTTTGTATTCTGTTTGAAGTGTTAAGTTATAATTAGCAGGAGAAAAGAAGTAGAATGCTCTTAATCTCATCCATCATTGAAAGCCCCATGGAAATCTACTTTAAAACATAACTCAAATTGTGTGACTCTACTTACCCTCCAATGGATTGCAATTACACTTAGAATGAAATCTACCATTTTCCCATGGCTTCAAGGACTCTGCTGAATGGCTCCTGCCTACTTCTTCACTTATGATGGCTCCTTCCCTAGCTCTGTGCTCTCCTACCACAGTGGAATTCTTCCCGATCCCGGAAGATGCCAAGCTGATTTCCACATAGGGATTTTATACTTGCTATTCCTCTGCCTGAATATATATCTTTTTCCAGATACATAATCACATACCTGGCTTATTCCTTACAGTGGTAAAGGAATAGAACTGGAAGATAAATCCTCATCAAAACTATATATAATGTTAGATGCAGATGGACTAAAGGTCAAATTTTAATGGTAAACCATAAAGTTATACAATGTATTTCTGTCTAGAATTGATGAGCAACTCCTTGACATTCAGGATCAGGACATAAACTAAAATATTCTCTGCAACACTTAACTAAGATGCTATTTGAAAAAAAAAAACGTACATTAGGTACTTGGTATTTTATAACTTTAAAATAATTAACACTTGAGATTTGATAAAAACCTCAAATGCAGAAAGCATCAGGGCAAAATGTATTTACATAAAAATTAAAGATTTATCTTAAATATAGAACATTATGGAAAATTTAGACTGAGAGAAGATGTTTGCAATGTCTAAAATTGACAAGGGATTAATATATAAAAGTTATAAGAAACACTTGCAAATAAGAAGAAAAAGACATGAACCCTAATAGAAAATGGGTAAGAGGTTTGAACAGGAATTCACAGAATAGAAGATCTCAAAGAGATGCTCAATTGTATTAAAAATAAAAATAGAAACATCCATAATTATCACTTTATGTCTGTCAGAGGGTGATAAATTAGACAGTTGGTAGTGGGGAGTGTGGCTGTGGATATATTATGCCCTTTTCATGGAAGGGTGGTACAGCTTATTTTGCATAACCACCCAGCAATGTTTAGTCTAATTAAATCCATCTATTCCCCATGACCCACGGATCCTTCTCCAAGGCATATGATCCTAGAGAAACTCAAAAACATGCCCTCTGATACTCACTGCAGCAGTATTTGTGTTAGTGGGTAGTAGAAATGTAGAATGTCCATCACTGGAGAAGCCATTAGGTGTGTGTTGTAGGTAAACCCCATGGAGGATGAGTCTGAGTTAATAATAACACACTAGATATACACACAGAAACATGGATTGACCCTAAAAGCAGTGATGAAGGGCAAAACTAGGAAGCTTAACACAATCCTTAAAAAAATTAAATTTAAAATTCAAAATTACATGTCTACAAAACAGCAATGAATATAAGAACAAGTAAAAAAGGCTATACATCATTTAGAATAGTTGAGACATAGTGAGATATGAGAAAATTGAGTAAATGCACAAATAAATCAATGGATGAATCAAAAACAAGAAACCAGAAGAACAGGTTGTGCAGCTCAATGATGACAATGTTCCATTTACTGAAGACTATGATTACATTAGCTCTTTGTACCAAGGATTCCTCCTACCCACCAAAATACACACACACATGCACACATGCACACACGTGTGCTATCTCAAAGAAACAGCCAGTATTAGTCCCTTTACCTTCAAGATCAAGACAAAAATGAAGATTCTCTTCAACACTTAATATGCTATTTGAAAAGCAATACATTAGCTACTCAGTAATGTGACAGCTTGTAAGTGGGGTATTGTAATTTGGCCATATTCATTCTGGCCTATTTCATTTTTACTTGTTTTACAACTTAAAAATATAAGTAAACAAATATCATTGAATACCAATATAGAGCAAATACAGTCTTAAGAACTAGAAATATATCTGTGTACAAAAGAAACAAATATATTGGATGAATTTTAAGTGTTATGGAGATATGATCAAGATGTTTCTAAATAATTTCACTCTTGTTTAGAAATTGTATACAGTGTTTAACACTTTCAATGTATATATATATTTCTCAACTGCTTTATTAAGGTATAATCCACAAAACTTACAATTCACTCACTTAAAGTTTAAAATTCAATGGCTTTTGGAAAATTCACAATTATGCATCCCTGACGACTATAAATTCTAGAATATTTTCCATATCCTAAAATGAGACCCTGTATGCCTTAGATGTCACCCACCAATCTCTCCATTTCCTTGCTAGTTGTAAGTCCCTAAGAATCTAATTTCTGTCTCTATAAATTTATCTATTTGTGACATTTTGTATAAATGGAATCATACAATATGTGGTCATTTGGGTCTATCCTCTCTCATTCAGTATGTTTCCAAGCTTCATCTATATTATAGCAGGTATTAGTACTTCATTTTATTGCTGAATAATATTCTACTGTATGAATGTAAGATATTTACCCATTTATCAGCTGATAAACATTTGTGTTGTTTCTACCTTTCAGTTATTATGAATTATGCTGCTGCAAACATTTGTGTACAAGTTTTTATATGAGCACATTTTCATTTCCCTTTCACTTCATTTCATCTCATTTAATCCGTCTCTCACATATATAGCTAGGAGTGAAACTGCTGGATCAGATGATATGAGGAGTTGCCATATTGTTTTCCAAGACAGCTGCACCACGTTACGTTCACACCAGCAATATGTGATTGCAGTTTCTCCACATCTTTCCAAAACTTGTTATTCACCTTTTGGATTATAGCCCCCTTAGTGGATATGAAGTGGTATCTCATTGTGGTTTTCTGCATTTCCCTCATGTTTAAGGATGTTAAGCATTTTTTCATCAGCTTTTTGGCCATTTGTATGTCTCCATGAGAGAAATGTCATTTCAGTTCCTTTGCTCATCTTTTAATTGGATTATTCATCTTTTTATTATTGAGTTGTAAATTACAAAAAAAAAAAAAAAAATCTATTTTAGATGTCAGGAGCTCAGCTGAGCTGGGAGATAGGCTGAGCTGCCATGCATGAGAGTAGCCAGTCAAAGCAGCAAGTCCAGTATGAAAGTGTTAAGCATTTAATTACTTACTGTAATGGCATAACAAGAGGCTAAAGCTCAAGAAAGCACAGCACTGCCTATTCCATCTTCCTCTCTGGAAGGATGCATCAATGACGGGTGCTGAAGAGAGAGCAATGCTCATTTCTCATGTTGGGATAAGGCTATGCTCAAGTTTTACTCTTCCCTGTAGAGTAGGACCTTGTTAGAGCAATGCTGTAAGCATATTTTACAAATGTTACCTTGCCCTTTCCTTGATCCAGGAGGGAATCTTTCTCAGTGCTTCACCAGGAGAGCCTGGTCAGGAGTTTATTACAGGCTATTCAAGTCATGTTCTAGCAATTTAGGAAAGTAGCTATTTGGGTGTTACTGGAGCTCCAGTGGCTTATGTTCTGCAGGTAGGCAGGCCTCAGCTGCCACTGTCCAGATTTGGTGGTGGATTTTTATTGTGCTCAACTTTTTCTTGTTGTAAAAGATGAGAATGATGACTTCTAAGCTTTTCGTGTCAGAGATGCTTTTGAAGACTTATCCTGGATTGTGGACTATTAGAGTGTAAATCTTTATTCTCTAATTTTCAATGTGGATACATTATTCCCTTTAAAAATATCTTGTTAAAATTTGGTTTTGATCGGAAGTGGCTGAAGGTGATATTTCATGTCACCCCAGGCAATATGTACTGCAGTTGAGAACTCGACTCTGAAGTCAGAATACGGGATTTTGAATTCTGCCTTCTCTTTTTATTCAGGTGTGTAACTTTGAGAAAAATATTTCACCCTGCTGCTCCTTAGTTCCTTAATCTGTAAAATAAGGTGACAAAGCGGTAGTAACCTTCTCTCAAAAAGAGGTTTCATCGTGTTAATACCTATAAACAGAATAGTGCCTGGTACTTAATAAATACTGGCCATTATTAAATTTCCTAGATGTGTGAGAATACTGCTATGGTTTTAAGATGTCTCACTTTGCCTTTAGAGTTTGGAAACCAGGCTCATATTGGCATCACAACTAATGTAAGTCACCAGGCAATTTCAAGTAATGAGGCCAGGCTATAGCAAAGGGTTATCAAATTGAGAGGCACGCCTTTGTCCCTAACAACACAGGGCAAAAATCCAACAGCTTTGTCTTATTTTTGTTGAAATCATTGTGTGTTTGAAGAAGTCTCTTCATGAATAGCTTATGGATTTTGGAAAACTTCCCACAAAAACAAGACTCTTTGATCCACAAGGATTTGTTTTTCATCTTAAAAATGAAACAAAAGAAAAAAAGAACACCACCAACAATAAAATAAACCTCATACAACTCTAAAGTAAAAGTTTTTGAAGAGCTTTGAGGGCCCATTCTTCTTCCTAGAAGTCTTCTATTATGTTAACACAAAATTGCCTTGCCATGACTGAGAATGTAACCAGGTCCTTCGATAAAACTGGAGATGTCTGTAAATAGGAGAATTCTCTGCTCTGATTTGACTGCTTGGTCCCGTATTGACTTTCTTACCCATGCCAAGACTGTCTAAGATCAAATCTTGAAATAAAAAAGATTATTTTCTGCTGTACCCAACCTTTCCTGTTCTTGTCTCAGCTGTTTCATCCCATCCTCAAGTCTATCAGTTTCTAGTATCATCAACAAGAAAAATTGTTAAGTGCCCATAAGTTGCATGTAAATATGTGGGAAATTCATTTTACATCTAGGGAATGTAACTTTCTATTCACAATGTTCTGAGTGAATGCAAGTTATCTATTCTGTGGATATTAAAGGGTTCTAGTCCATGAAATGTGAACAAAAATGGTATAAGTCATTTTCAGATCTCACTCCAAAATCATCCTACAAAATTTCTCATGCTTTCTCCCTGTTTGAAAACCAAAAATGAAGGATGCCAAGTTGAGACAGTCACAATATGTAAGGAAATGGTCCCTGAATTACTTCTTGGCAGAATTGCCACCCCAAGTGAAACCCAAGAGTCACCTGATATAGAAAATCCTCTTTGGACCTTGTGTCATTAGGACATATATTTTGTTATGTTAACTCTCAAAGTTTTGTAGTTGTTTGTTACAGTGGTTATCATTAAATAATACAGTTGTCCTTGAAATCATCGGGGATTGGTTTTAGCATTCCCCACAGATAAAGAAATCTGCAAATGATCAAGTCGCTGCTATAAAATGTTGTAGTGTTTTCATATAACCTATGCGTATCCTCCCATATACTTCAAAGCATCTCTAGATTACTTATAATGGCTAATATAATGTAAATGTCATGTAAATGGTTGTTATACTCTATTATTTTTCTTTGTATCCTTTTATATTTTTTATTTTTTCTGAATATTTGTGATCCAAGGTTAGTTGAATGCATGGATATGGAACCCATGGATATGGAAGGCTGGCTGTGTACAGATAGAAAAAGAAATCTCAGAAAATTGAAGTAATTTATTCTAGGCAACATACGACTTAATGCCAGGGCTGGAACTAGAAGTTTCCAATCCCCAGTTTAATGTATTTATGAAACTATAACATATACTACTTTTATTGTCCAATCCCAGCTAGTTATAAAAAAAAACCCATCAACAGATAAGGAACGGAAACTGAGCTATTTAATGTATAGTAATTCCACTCAATACCTTTCTGCATTCAAAAAAATACTGAATTTTAAGACATTCGTTCTTTTGGATACTTGCCATTGCTTTGCACAGCACGTTTTCTGAAATTGTTGATTTCAAGTAGTATAGCTAACATTGGAGGAGATCTGTAAATACACCGGACAGTTATTCAAACTCAAACCACAAGAGTTACCACCAACTCTGTAGACTAAGTCCATTTTCAAAATGATAGTCACATGAGATCGTAAATCTTTAATTCCATTTAATACTCTATCTATGCCAATGGGATGAGTTGGACAGTGAAAGGTATCTGACCAACGGAAATGACTTAGGGCCAAAGTAAACTGTCAAAAGGAGGCTAAATTTAGCTTTGCAACAAAGCAGATGTAAATCTCAGTGGGTTTCTCACCATCAGCTAAGAAAATAACAAAACATCCGTGTCCCACAGAAGCATTTTAAAAGGTTGAATACAGACAGGGCAAGGTTTGTACCCTGTTTCCTCTAAGCTGCAAGTTTGAGATCAGTTCCAGTAAAAGTTGAAGGTTACTTGAAGGAGTCTGACCTATTTCACACTGGGTACATAAAGTGTTCCCAAATAAAACTCGTTTGTTCGATGGCTCTGAAAGTGCATGCTTATGTCTAAATCACAGAACATGACAGCTTTTGGTAGCCATGCTGTTACCTCAAATGCTCCAGGGAGTTTATAAAGAATTCCAGAGGGAGGAAGAACGATTCTCTTTCCCAATTCTCTTTTCCAGCATAGTGAAATATTTGCATACAGTGACTCAATCACAAGCAAGCTAAATGTCTGTTGTTATGAAATCTTACATTCTTCCACAGTGATGGGAGAAAAAAAATGAAAATAAAGCATAGGGGAGGGACATTTTTACTTTACAAACAAAAAAATACACTCTTGTCCTATAAGCCTTTCCTTAGAAAGTTGATGGAATTCTATAGCTGTTATCAACTATATTTCAGTTGTGACTGTTGAGTTTGGGTTTTGCATTTTGAGAAAATTTCCATGTTCAGATTTCTTAGTTTTCTTTTTTAACATTTGTGAAGTAATTGCGTGAAATAACTTAAAAAAATCTTTCCAGAGTTCTCTGCCAAAAATATCTGAGCAACTTTTCCCACTCTTGCATTCCTACAGGTCTTTCTTCAGAGCTGATGAGTTACTCATTTGCCCTAGGACAGGGCTACGTGACAAGGTAAACATACTATGGTTTTTGAGAGGTATTAATTCATACTATTTTGGGATTATATAAAAAATACAATGTACATCACAGTATTTCTATATAGTAATTGTCTCACAAAATATGTCTATATAGTATAAGAAAAATTACTACAAAAATCTCAACATGGGGGATATTCTAATATGAGCCTTGGGGCAAGTATTTTGGGATAGACTAAAATATATACAGTATATAGATGTTGTATAATATTAATTTACATATTCATAGTATGTATAATAAACACTGAGCTGTGAACAAGATAATACTCTATATGTCTTATATTCCATTAAAAGTAAAGAAGAGCCTCATTCAGTCCTCAAAGGATAGGAGAGATTTGCTACTAATGCCCTTATAAATGCTGACAATCAGGCTGACTTTAAGCTTTGACCTAAAGGGTAGTGTCTCTGCCCTAACAACTAAGGAAGCAATTTCAGTTGGGACAACCAGAACCCCAAAGGAAAGCCACGCCTGTTCTTCAAGGGAAAAACAGATGAGGACTAACATGATGGACTTTCTCTCATAACCATTGTCTTTTTTTCCCCTTCTGTAATTATTCAAACATAGGCGGTCCCAAACCTGTAAGTTCACAGAGTTCACTTATCAAGAGAACTGTTGGAACTCAGAACATAATGTTCCATAAAATCAATGTTATGCTGCTGGTTTCTAAGGTGCATGAATTTTGTTTTTTGTTTTGTTTTGTTTTGTTTTTCTGCCTAAACCCCTCCCTTTGTCTACTGTTGACAGTACCCCTTTCTCTCACTCTGTGGGTCTCTGAGAGTGCCTCCAAACCCCTTGATCTCCAGTTGTTTGGTCAAAGTTTAGTAATTAGTCAAAGGAGTGGACACAATTCAAGTTGGGGCAACCACAGTAGCTCCCTGCTCAGCCATAGTGATTTATCCAGTGGTGGCCAGGTAGCTTAACCTAAGCTGGGCCTGGCTAACCAGATTCCTTTCCAATAATATATTCAACTGGAGCTATGGGGACAACCCCCAATTTCTCTAGTGTGAGGTTGTGAGGTTGTGAACCCCTTGCTTTTAGAGTCACATCTCCCAATGTGTGAAGACACCATCTTATAATAAGAAAGAATAAAACTATCAGGCCAAGAGAAACAGAGATGAGAGAAGCAGCGAGGGAGGGTGATGACAACATTGGAACTCTGTTTTTTGTTTTGTTTTGTTTTCTTTTTTTCCTGCCTGAGGACCAGAACTTCTTTGATTCCAAAGTTGACTGTTTAACTCTTTGAGGATGGAAGCTCCCTGTCATCTTAAAACAAGACCAAACAAAACCTCTCTCCCTTTTCCATGTTTGTTTCCCCTAAGTCTATTTTTAATTGTATTTCTGCCTCTTATAAACAAGCGTCCTACTTAAAATGGTTGGATTCTCAAGGAAGGATTTAGAAGCCAATTTTGACCACGATGTAAGAAAGCAAACCCCTAGTATGAGACTGGGGACCCTTTCCCTCCTTGTTCCTCTTATCTGCTTACAACAAGTGTTCAATGAGATCAGATAACTTAAACAGAGAAGGTTCAGGCCTAGGATTTTGAACTCAATATCTCCTTCTCTTGCTGTAAACATGACGATAACTGTTTGGTGTAAAGGGAGTGTACAGATTCACAGAATTCATCTAATTTTCTGGGGACCTCGACCCAAGTAAAGAGCGTAGGAAGACCTTCAAGTGACATGGTGTGACTCGCTAATAAATTCAATATTGTGCTGGCTGACTATTCATAGCATAGCTTTTATGAAAGGGTGTGTGTAACAGTGGAAACAGCTGAGAGGGTCATGGCTTTAATTATCTGAGGAGGGCATTCAGGTCACACTCATCCACTCATTTGTACTTTTATTTTTCTTTAAATAGCTGAGTCATCTCAGTCATGGAAAAAATTTAAAAATACTGCTGAAAATAGCAATTACATTATGGTGATGATAATAATTCCTAATCAACACTGTTAGACCAATTCAGGTTGCATGAGAATATTCCTTATTTCTGGAAAGGCATGAATTCTCCCAGTTTCTGGAATAATATTTTATCACACTCTGAAACAAACAATTAATTTGTATTATTTGTTAAATTATAGATGTTTATCTTACACATATCTATCATGTTCAAGTCCTCCTGGAAACATACACACAAACACACAGACTAACATATGTCCATTCCCCTTTTCAGCCACAGTCTCCATGTTTCTTAGTATAACCACACTGAAACCAAATACATCTGCACAGCAGCATATTTGGTGAAAGGTAGGGACAGGTCACACTTTTGTATTCATTTATTCCTCCTATACATTTTCTAATTCTCTATCCCTGGGGTGGGTTATCCAACTTCCTTTGATGGATATATTTGCCTAGTTAATAAATCCTGCTAAGTACCTGTTGTGTGTTAGACACTATGTTACACTCCAGAAATTCAAAGATAAATAGAATAGAGTCCTTAGAAATAAGTTATCAGCTCCATGGAGAGGCTGTCACAGAATCAGAAAATTTTAATAGTCACAACAGATGATTTGAGAGTACAGAAGAGTGACACCTACTGCTTTCTGAGGTCAGAGCATGCTCTCTATAAGAGGGAATAGTTTAACCACTACATAGAGCATGAGTAGAAGTTGTTAATCCAGAAAAGGCTGAAGAATAGAGGGATAAGAGGTTACCAGCTGAAAGGAGGACTTGGGGGAGTCTATTTTAGGAACAGAGCACAGTATAGAGGGAGTGACATGGTGTAAAAGAGATCCTCAAACAATTGGATGTTGCAGGGTTGTAAAATGAGGAATAGTTAATGACTACAACAGAGAACTAAGAGATAGATAGGGGCCAGATGATGGAAGGGTTTACCTGCCATTTTATGGTATCTGAGTTTTTTCTTTGTTGATGGGCCCACTAAGGGGATTTAAATAATGGAGAAGTAGCATAAACAGACTTACTGGTTGGATCAGTTGCTGTAGCATCAGGCTTTGAGGATGGATCTGAATAGGATGTGAGAACTTCACCTGCTCACATGGAGGGGGGCTTATCTGCTACGATTCAACAGAAGTCCAATAACCATTGCAAAAATAGCCAAAGTATATGAACACAAAGCTTATAGAAAAAGATATACAGATGACTTCTAACATTATTAAAGCTCAGTCTCATTCATAAGAGAAAAGAAAATTAAAACTCCAATGAAATGTTATTTTATTTTTTCCTGTTGGCAGAGGTCAAAATTTATGAGCACACTGTGCTTATGAGAGCATGAAAATAGACACATTCTTGCATTTGTGATAAACTTTAAATCAGTAAAATCTATATAGAGAAAAATATATATCTATATATATAACATGCATATATACTTTGAACCATAATTCCACTTCTAAGAATCAGCTGATACTCTCATATGGAATAAAAGTGGTTATATACAAGGTTCTTATTGCAGTGTATTATTTGTAAAAGCAAAAGATTGACCACATTTTAAATTAGCAAATAATGAATAGCAGACAGTAGGTACATGTCTTGGAATAGTATGCCTCACTAAGAAGAATACTGATACTTCTTTATATATGGAGAGAGAATGACCACCGAAAAGGTATTTTGAGCCAAGAAAAGAAAATGGTACAGAAGGTGATGTATTGCATGGCTACATATGTATGGGAAGAAACCCACATGAGTGTGCACAGAATATTTCTGGAAGATTACATACGAAATTGACAATGAGGGTGGCCTCCAGTGAGGGACCATTGTAGTGGGGCTTCAGGGATAGATTGTGACTTATTTTTCAGAGTATACTCTCTTGTATTTTAAAATCTGTATCACATGCATTTATTACCTAGTCAAGGATGGAAGAGAAGGGAAAGAGGGGGAGAGGGAAGAAAGCAGAAAGAAAATGACAAAGGAAGAAGGAAGAAGAAAAATAAATTAGGGAAACTGATGTGTCAACTGAATTTCTGCCCTACATGGGGTCAAGAGCTGAGCACTGGAATCCATGTGGAGTAAAGAAATGCACTTGAGGCAACCACATCACACTCTGATCCTCAAAGTGCTGAAGCCTCACAGCCTCAGACACACTGTGCCAAGAAAAGGCACACATATCAGCATTATGACATCTTTTCTCACTTATGGAATAGAATAGAAACATAAAATTTTCCCATGAATTCATAATTATAAACTTGTCTTTATTTGCATTTGAAGACTATTTTTTATTAGGTATTCCTATGCCAAGAAGGTAAGACAAAAAGAGGTTTGGGGTTGGTAATATCTTGTGATACATAGCAGAATCAAAAACCATTCTAGCAGTACACAATGTTAGTCTAAATTTCTTAAAGTCTTCGTTGATAAATCCCTTAGAATAATGACCACGTGACCTAAAAATGGCCAAAGACACCGTAAAACAAAATATTATGAATGAGAGACGAAAAGTTTAGGATTTCAAGAGTGTCACATAACAGAGCTATTAAATAAGAATGTTTAAAACTAGTAAACACATTTTTTCAAAAGGACCCAAAACCAAAAGATAATATAAAAACACTTGGCAGCATGTTAAAAGAAATCAAACAGAACTTCTAGATATAAAAATGGTTTTTGGAATTAAGTCAAGGGAGAGACATGGCAAGTATGAAAGATGTTAAGAGTCATGAAGGAGATCATATTTTCAGCAAATAATTTTTCCTTGCATTAACTAAAGAAGTTTAAAACATTAATCTCGAAGAATGTCAAATTATTATCCTGTCTGGAAGATATTTGTGGGGTCCCAATAATAGTAAAAATGCAGGTCCATATAACGTATGTCTAAATATTTAAAATTTATCAAGCTAACAAATTATTGAATGATTTATCTTTCTTCCTTGACAGATATACCTTTATAACAATATAAGACTTTCATATGACTAAAAGAATAGCAAAGATAACTAAATTACTAATGTGCATGTTTGGATTTTCCGTTGATGAACTAAGATGTTTGAATAATATACAATAATATACACAATTTACGAATTATATAATTTATAAAATTTTCTCTAGAATTCTCTAGAATAAAAGGTTCTCTAGAGAAACAGAACCAATATGATATATATACATATATCTACACATATACAGAAGAGGAGATTTTTGGGAATTGGCTCACATGATTATGGAAGTCAAGATGTCCCACAATATGCAATCTACAAGCTGGAGAACAAGAAAAGCCAGTGGTGTAATTCTGTCTGAGGCCAAAGACCTGAGAACTTGGAGAGCCAAGACCCAGGGGTTGAGCAAAGAATCAATAGCTCTGATGTCTGAGGGCAGCAGAAGATAAATGTCCTGGCATAAGAAGTGAGAGAGAACTTAGCCTTTCTCTGCCTTTTTGTTATTTTAAGGCCCTCAAAAGATTGGATGATACCCATCTGTATTGGTGAAAAAGGAGCTTCTTTACTCAGTCTACTGACCTAAGTATTAATCTCTTTTGGAAACACCTTCACAGGCACTCCCAGAAATAATGTTTACCAGCTATGTGGGCATCCTTTAACCCAGTCAAGTTGATACATAAAATTAACCATTCCACAGAAATTGCTTGGTATTGCAAAATGTTGCTCAGAATGATAAGGTTTGGCTCTGTTTCCCCACCCAAATCTCACCTTGAATTGTAATCTCCATAATTCCCGTGTGTCAAGGTGGGGCCAGGTGGAGGTAATTGGATCATGGGGCCAGTTTTCTCCATGCTGTTCTTGTGATAATGAGTCTCACAAGATCGGATGGTTTTATAAGTGTCTTGTATTTTCCTGTCTTGCACTCACTCCATCCTATTGCCCTGTGAAGAAGGTGCCTACTTCGCCTTTGCCTTTCACCATGATTATAAGTTTCCTGAGACCTCTTCAGCAATGCAGAACTGTAAGTCAATTGAACCCCTTTCCTTTATAATTTACCCAGTCTCAGGTATTTCTTCATAGCAGTGCGAGAATGAACTAACACAGTCACCAGGTTCAACTGTTGCTATCCAGGCTAACTGCTAGGTATCTTGGAACTACGAATTGAAATAAGAAGACAAGCAAGAGAGTGGACTCAAGGCACTGCTTGGAAATGTATTGTGTTACCCAAGAATCCCTTGTATTCATCCTTTCAGAAAAGAAGAATTGGCAAGTTAGGTAAACTTCCTGCTACCTCAAGTCTGCTATTGCTCAAATCCTCTTCGCATTACAAAGCACCATCCATCTTTGACACTGGCTGTCACACAACCCACAAAATTTAATAACATTTCAAATTAACTGCTTTTTTTGCAAGAATATAATGAAGAAGACTTCTTGGGGCCTAAATGGTGCTAATTTTAAGACCAGATATTTAGTTATAAGTTAAATTGTACCAACATTGAGTACTGAATCCCAAGTGATGATACTTGTTAAATATGAGTGAGAGAGGGATGACAATACATGTTAAATATGAGAGTGAGAGAGGAAGGAAGGAAGAGAGGAAGGAAGGGAGGGAGGGAGGGAAAGTGTGTGTTGTGAGATGCAGGACCTCTAAGACATGAAATCCAAGACCAGAGCTCCTCTTCTCTAGATCTTTGAGTACGGTTGCAGATTGGAGTTCTGGAAGGACAGAATAATAAGAATGAGAAAAACAATATTAAAGAGGTAGTGGGTAAAATTTTGTTTTTACAATTTTTTTTTAAGTTCAGGGGTACATGGGCAGGTTTGTTATATAGGTAAACTTGTGTCATGCATGTTTGCTGTACAGATTGTTTCATTACCCACGTATTGAGCCTAGTATCCATTAGCTATTTTTCCTGATCCTCTTCCTCCTCCCACCTTCCACCCTCCAGTAGGCTCCAGTGTCTGTTGTTCCTCTCTGTGTGTCCACAAGTTCTCATTATGTAGCTTCCACTTATAAGTGACAACATGTAGTATTTGGTTTTCTGTTCCTGCATTAGTTTGCTAAGGAGAATGACCTCTAGCTCCATCCATGTTGCTACAGAGAACATGATCTCACTCTTTTTTATGACTACATAGTATTCCATAGTGTATATTAACTAGATTTCCTTTATCTAATCTGCCACTGATGGACATTTAGGTTGATTCTATGTCTTCACTTTGTGGATAGTGCTGTAATGAACATATATGTGCATGTGTCTTTATCAGAGAACAATTTATATACTCAGTAATGGGATTATATATTTGGGTATATATGCAGTAATGGGATTGCTGGGTCGAATGATAGTTCTGTTTTTAGCTCTTTGAGGAATCACCACACTGTTTTCCACAATGGTTGAACTAATTTACACTCCCACCAACAGTGTATAAACGTTCAATGAACAGAATTTTTTCAGAAATAAAAGAAGGCATAAATAGCCCCAATTATAGAAGCCTAAGGAATGCAGTGAAGGATAAATAAAACTGAATTTAGGCAAACACATCACAGTGAACTTTGAAACACCAAAAGAAAAAGAGATCCTTTAAACAAACACAGAGAAAAAACAAACTTTCTACAAAGACCATGTTTAACATTAACATACACTTGCTGAAGAACATAATCCTGGAAGGAAAACAATAGAAACCAAAGGGAAGACAGACTATGTAATGTAGAATGGTAAGCAAATAAACTGGCAAACACGCAAAACATATGAACTCACATTAACTGTATGAAATAATAATAGTATTGAAGGATATTTAAAGTACAACTAACATACTGGCCAAAATATGATGTAAAATGAAAGATAGGAAATTGAAATTAAAGCATTCTAAGGCTCTTGAATGCTTTGGGAGAAAACTGGCAATTATGATTAACTTTAAGCACTGTTTAGGAAAGATAGGTGCTACAAAGCTGAGGCAATCAGCTAACAAATGAATACGACATATATACGTCAGTGAAAAAAAAAGGTTAAAAAATCTGTAGAAACATGATAAATAGAAACACAAAACGAGAGTAAACCTAAATTTTAAAATATCAATAAGACTAAGCTTATCAACTAAAAATGTCTAATACAGAGAAAAAAGAAACAATTCCAGCTATAGAAATACATCTAAAACAAGAGTATACTGAGAAGTTAAAAGCAGAAAGATAGGCCGGGCAGTGGCTTACGTCTGTAATCCCAGCACTTTCGGAGGCCAGGGCGGGCGGATCACGAGGTCAAGAGATCATGACAATCCTGGCCAACATGGTAAAACCCCATCTCTACTACAAATACAAAAATTAGCTGGGCGTGGTGGCATGTGCCTATAGTCCCAGCTACTCGGGAGGCTTAGGCAGGGGAATCACTTGAACCCAGGAGGCGGAGGTTGCAGTGAGCGGAGATCATGCCACTGCACTCAAGCCTGGCGACAGAGTGACACTCCGTCTCAAAAAAAAAAAAAAAAAAAAGATAAAAGAAATTACACTAGACAACTCACCAAAAGAATGCTGGTGAAGCTATAGCACTATTAAGAAAAATATTTTAAGACAGAAAAATCTTCCCTACATAATCATAAAAAGAACAACTTACCAAGAAGATGTAAATTTGTATGCAACTAATAATAAAGCTTCAAATTGTATAAGGCAAAACCTGACAGATTTACAAGAAGAAAAATTTAAATACATCATTATGATGACAGAATTTAGAGTTTGTCACTAAGTGATTAAGAAATTATATATGTGCATATATGTAGATATATACATATTTATTTAGAAATTGTCACTATTCAAACATTTTTGATAAATGAAAATTGACAATTTCATAAATTTCCATATAATATACAGAATATTGTCTAGTAATTAAAGAGTATACATTCTTTTCAAGCACTCATAATAATCACTGCAATTATTGCAACGAAGAAGAATTTAGTAAAGTAAAATTAACTGCTGATTATATCCTATTAGTCAAGAGTAAAATCTAAGAATATGACAGGAGAAACACTCATTTCCCAATGTCCATTAAAAGAAAAATCTTAAGATATCTGTAAAAAAATTTAACAGGACATAGGTAAGACTACTGATGAATTAGTAAATTTAATTAATGGAATAAATGATAGAATAAATATGGTATTCTATTTTAAAAAATAAGAACAAGGATTATAAAAATGCCAGGCCTGCAAATGTAAAACACTCCTAATGTAATTACAAGCAGATTTTAAATGAACTTTGATAAACTGAGCCTACCATTTATTTAGAAGAGGAAATGCTTAAAAATATCATGGATGTAAATATGAGAGAAATTGCGCTATGAGCTATCAAAAAATGATACAAGGCAAGCTCAATTAAAATGATATGGTTTGGTATAGGAATAGAAAGAGAGATCAACAGAAAAACAAGTCCAAAAATGTTTAAACGAATATGTAGAAACAATGAGATGTAAATATTTAAAATAATAATGTCTCTTGATAGGAAAACTCAAAAAATATTTTAAAAATCCAGATCTTCTTAAAGTTATGTATAATATTAGAAATATCCCATGTTTTCCTTGGCTTGGTGTTAGCAAGGAAAGATTATTTTACTTTATTTACTTATTTTTAATTCGGAGCTGGGGCCATTTTATTTAAATATCTAAATGGAATCTTCAGTGTTTCACTTATTTTATGGGTTTAGTTCATTTATACCAGGTCCTATGTCAGTAATTTCTAGACTTCCTAGGCAATATATAAAACGGATTCAAATCCACTCAACAACATTTATCCCTCTTCATGTGACAAGGATGAGAGAAACTTCTGCTCCCAATATGGAAGCTACAGTAGGAAAAGAATTCCCCCTAATCCACTAGCAACAAGCACATTCTACTGTAGTTCAGGATAAAGACTACATACTTGAGAACATTCACATCCTGATTCCTGTAAACAAGGACTGACTCCTTTCAAAACCCAACTGTGGTTGAGAAGTGCAGATTCACAAACACAGGCATGGAAAGATGAAATAAGAAAATAACTATGTAAGAATAGCCAGAAAACCTCTAAAAAGAGGTTTTCTTTTTAGAAAGTAAGGGGGAGATAGTCCGCAAATTGACATACTAACCTATCAGAAGATAGTCCAGAAATAAACTAAAAATCATGTTGTAGATAATAAGTGCAGAAATATTGGGTATTTACTATGTACTTTCATGCTTTTACGTCCTTTAGAAATACTCTCACTTAAGCATTAAATCAACCCCCATAAAGTAGATGCTATTATTATCGTCCTCTTACAGAGGAGGAATTGGGGCAAAATTTTGAATAAGTATGAAAAGATGGATTTAGGAAATAGTGATGGGATAATTGATTCAGTTTCTTAAAAAATATAGCTATATCTATACCTTTACTCAAAAATAAATTACAATGCATCAAATGTTTAAATGGAAAAGATGAAATCATGATAAAACTTTGAAAGCATAGTAACAATACTGAAGACCTTCTAGTGGAGACAGAGTTCATGGCTTCTTAAAATTACTAGACGATTCATAGTGAAGAATATTAGGAAAGTGGCTGAAGTATGAGAAAAAGTCAAGATAAAGATTGTTTTGTTTTGTATGTGTATGTGTGTTTTAGGATGAAATAGAACTTTTCTTGAGAGGAAAACCCATAGAGAAGGATGAAATTTGGAAAAATTTAGGAAACGAAAAGATTTGAGAGACAAAAAAACATAAGCAGGAACTGGATTGGTTATGAAGTAGAAGACCCCTCACATTCTAAAATGAATGAAGGCCGGGAGCAGTGGCTCACACCAGTAATCCCAGCACTTTGGGAGGCCGAGGTGGGCAGATGCCTTGAGGCCAGGAGTTTGAGACCATCCTGGGCAACAAGGCGAAACCCGGTCTCCACTGAAAAATACAAAAATTAGCCAGGTGTGGTGGCACACACCTGTAATCCCAGCTACTTGGGAGGCTGAGGCACGAGAATTACTTGAACCCGAGCGGCCGAGGTTGCAGCGAGGAGAGATTGTGCCACTGTACTCCAGCTTGGGTGACAAAGCCAGACTCTGTCTCAAAAAAATAATAAAATGAATGAAGTTCTGTGTTGAAATTTAAACTTTTGTGATGACTTACAAATCATATACAAGGTTGGGTGTTTCTTTTTTTTTTTTTTTTCTCTAGCAATGCTTAACTGAGAGAGGAGAGAAAACACCATAGAAGAGATTTGGAGTAAGAAGTCCTGGGTGCAGCAGAAGGAAGGGGAAGAAAAAGAGTTGAAATTTCTGGTGAAAGGGGAAAGGTTTTCTTTTGGGGCCCAGCTTGGGTAGGATTAAGGGCTAACTGAGGACTGAGAGATTAGGAAAAAAAAAGGATGTTTCCTAAAACATCATGGCAGTGCTAATGGAGACAAGAAGAAAGGTTCGAAACTGGAGAGTTAAAAATGGGAGGAAATTGTGATGAAGTGAATGCGGGGCTTGAGGAAGGGAGGCATCTAGTATGACTTCCATGTTACTGTCTTTCTTAGACAACTTGGTACATTTATAAACTTGGGAGTATGGAAAGGGGAGCAAGGACTAGGAGAAAAAGGATAAATTCGGTTGTAGACAAATTGAGTTTCAGGTGTTTGTGTTCATCCAGATGACCATATTTAGTAGGCATCTGTGAAAGTGAATTACAGATTCAGCAGTATTTTAGCTCAGCTTCCTCAGAAGCAGATGCTGAGACAAAATTCATGTGGCCGTGACATTAAAGAGTGGCTTGTAGGAGTTCTTTCCGTAAGAAAGGAGTCAGACAAGAGTGAAGTTTCGGTGACGTTTCAGCCTTCTCCAAAGCCAAATGGAACTCTGAAGAATACATCACACCACAAAGCTGGTCCTGCTCAAAGCAATATATCTGGGCTTTTATACCATTGCATCAGTCATTTGCTATGGTCTGCCCCAAGGGACCAACTTTCAGGCACTTAAGGCCCTTGGTTTTTTTAGGCAAAGTGGCTCCAGTAGCCCAAGGAATGCCTTCTGAAGAAGGTTGCTGGAGTTAGCCTTTAGGATCAGAGAAATGCAAATCAAAACCACAATGAGATGCCATCTCATGCTAGAGTGGCTATTATGAAAAAGTAAAAAAGTAACAGATGCTGGTGAGGCTACAGAGAAAAGTGAATACTGATACACTGTTGGTGGGAATGTAAATTAGTTCAGCCACTGTGGAAAGCAGTTTGGACATTTCTTGAAGAACTTATAAATATAGCTAACATTTAACCCACCAATCCTGTTACTGGATTACCCAAGGAAAAATAAATCATTTTGTTAAAAAGACATGCACTCGTATTTTCATTGTAGTATTATTAATAATAGCAAAGACATGGAATCAACCTAGATACCCACCAGTGGTGTGGATTGGATAAAGAAAATGTGGTACATATACAATGTGGAATACTATGCAGTCATAAAAAGAATGAAATCATGTCCTATGCAGCAATATGGATGCAGCTGGAGATCATTATCCTGAGTGAACTAATGCAAGGACAGAAAACCAAGTACTGCACATTCTCACTTATAAGTGGGACCTAAGCACTGGGTACTCATGAACATGAAGATGGGAATAATAGACGCTGGGGACTGCTAGAGGGTGGAGAGATGGAAGGAGGAAGGGTTGAAAAACTACATATTGGTACAATGCTCACTGCCTTGGGATCACTCGTATCCCAAACCTCATCATCACATGATATCCATTTAAGAAACCTGCATGTGTACCCGCTGAATCTGTGAAGAAGAGACACAAAATCAGTGAAGGGGATCCGAATGTATCTAGTGAGGACACTGAAGCTTCTGGAGACAGATCTAATTCTAGGATTCATCAATCTGCTGGGGAAAAGTCGGACAGGAAGTAGGTAAGTTCCTGAAGAGACAGTGCAAGAGATCAAAATGCTCCTTGGGAATTTCTGACATTCAAAAGGAAGAAAGGCTTTTAAATAAGCCTGCCAATTGAAAAAAGCATCAAAAAAATGAGTAGCCGACCATGGAAATATCCTGGGGTGCAATCATGACTGGGTTTTACTTGTTTGTTTTATGATAGGATATTTCACACACACTGCTGTTTTCAAAGAGCCAATAGTGAGGTGACAGCAGAGAGTCCTGGTAAGTGGCACAGACGCGTCTCCTGGGAGAGTCCAGTCATCAGCCCAAGAGGGACCTTTCAGTTCTCTGCCTGCTTTCCATGGAGCTCCCCAAACCCAAGCCAAAAGGCCCCTCACCACTGTGATGGACTTAGCCCTGTTTGAATAGCAGCAGCCTGCAAAAAGCTCATCGTTGTCTTCACCAAGTGCAGAGTGTTTTCAATCTGGCAATTCTGGCAACCCAGAAAGTAATAAGCTGATAAAGCACAAGCTTTCTGAAGGGGCAAAGGAAATTGCCTTAGGGGCTGGAAAGAGCCTGGCGTAATATTTACACAAACAGAGGCTGAATCAGACTGTGCTGAGACCTTCTGGCTTAGCTCCCAAACAGGAAATGAAGGAAATGAAGCTGTATGCATTATGGTGACTCAGAAGCTAATCTTACTACCTACTTACCTAGAGAGAGAGAGAGACAGAGACAGAGACACTAAGGACTTACTTGGAAGAAAGGGAGGGGGACCACAAAGCTGGGACTAGTGTAAGGAATCTGGTGGGAATTCTTTCTCTCTGTACAGGAAAAAGCCTTCTGGTGTTTTGAGAGGATAAGCCTCCACAATTCTTTTCTTTTCAGATCTGGCACCCACCATTTTTAAAGGGCAGAGTTAGCCAGGTCTGTTATCACTGTTATTTGTTAAACAATTAATTATTACTGAAATAATATACGCTCACTTGGGAAACATGATAAAATCCTAAACATGATTTAAAAAATAATCCATATTCTCATAATCAAATATTGCAGATATTTCACGTGCATAAAAATATTAATCTAAAATGACATTGTGCTTTTTATGTTAACACATTTTTAAACATGATTTTATGGCCATAGAACATCGCTTTGTACAAATGTCACAATGTGTATTCAACCCCTTGACTACTGTTTGATGTATTTTCTAGCCTCCTGTTTTTAGACTCAGAACAACAAATGCCTTTTTGCTGCCAGATAGGTCTCAGGTATTTTGCAGCGTATTCTGCATATTCATAGGCAGGTATTCTGCAGCATCCTGGGGATCTACCTGCACTTGCATCTTCCAGGCACAGCCATTGATTGTATTTGGGGAAAATGCACCACTGGTAGATAGGATGAGAGTGCAACTGGAAACTACAAGAGAAAGAGCTGTATCCACACATAATACCTCCAACCAAGTTAACGATGCAAAACTATTCTCTGGTTTTATGAAAGTATTTAAAAGCTAACTGTGCAGGTCTAATATGATAATGCTAGTTGAAGCTCCTGTGAAATCTCAGAATCCTAGGGAATGTCTCCAGCAACACCACATACACTATGTCCCCTCACCCCATTTCTAGATTAGGATAAGAAAGAAATGTGAAATATGCACCTCGGCCTGAAAGAAAATACGATAAAGCTAGAAGTACAAGACCATGTAGGCAAAATTTATATATATACAAAATATAAATATATACAAATATAATTGTATTTATAAAACATATTTCATATAAATATAAAATATATATTTATATGAAATATTTCATATGAAATATGTTTATATCTTATACATATATGTATTTTATACATTATATGTATAATATATAAATATTTAATATATATACTATATATTATGTATATTATATATAATTTATATTATGTGTATTATATATAATATACATAATATATAATATATATTATATTCCTGCTATTCTCTCTACCACATGAATAGATGTTCTTCTGACATTCTTAACTTCTTTACATCCACTGCCTTTACATCCTAATTTCCTCAGACTCCCTCTGCCATGTCTACACTTTGAGGTAAAATGGTTCCATATCAGTGAACTTGGATTTACTTAATAACATCTATTTTCTTTATCCCACCCGTTCATTCCATTTTTTTCATCCTGATCTCCAGATACCCAGAGCTGTACTTTTTTTCCTCTCTTAATGCTTGTAACTCATGGCTGCCTCCATTACCTCCTAAAGTTCTGGATCCCATGGTCAGCCATCCCACACCTTTTCCATGAACATCCTAGCATTCTTATTTCCTTCCATACTCCACATATTAATTTACTTCTGATTCCTAGACTGCTATGTGTTGCCAAAAAAGTCTCAGATTTAGAATATCATGTTCTCTATAAATTCATGCCTTCCCAGCTTCAATGTTGCACAGACAGCTGCCCAGTAATCCTTTTATTCACGTCTTATAGATTTCCTATGACATTATCCATGCAGCTGCTATTCCAAAACTTTTCCATGCTCACTTGAGCAATCTCTGCAGGTTGCTTACCCTGAACTATTCCCCTTTATTATTTGCTAACAGAACCCGACTTTTATTCAGGTAGCACAATGCTTAGCCTGGAAGTAAAAATTATGATTGGTCTAAACCAGTCATACTAATCCCATTTCCTTTTTTAAAACATTTTACTTTAAGTTCTGGGATACATGTGCAGAACATGGAGGTTTGTTCCATAGGTATATACGTGCCATGGTGGTTTGCTAAATCTGTTGACCCATCCTCTAAGTTCCCTCCCCTCATCCCCCACCCCCAAATGGGCCCAGGTGTGTGTTGTTCCCCTCTCTGTGTCCATGTGTTCTCATTGTTCAACTCTCATTTATGAGTGAGAACATGTGGTGTTTGGTTTTCTGTTCCAGTAATGGGATTGCTGGGGCAAATGGTATTTCTGGTTCTAGATCCTTGAGAAATCACCATACTCTCTTTGCCATACTGTATGGTTGGACCTTATACAAAAGTTAACTCAAGATGGATTAAAGACTTAAATGTACAAACCCAAACCATAAAAACCCTAGAAGAAAACCCAGGCAGTACCATTCAGGACATAGGCATGGGCAAAGACTTCATGACGAAAATCCCAAAAGCAATTGCGATGAAAGCCAAAATTGACAAATGGGATCTCATTAAACTAAAGAGCTTCTGCACAGCTAAAGAAACTATCATCAGAGTGAACAGGAAACACTACAGAATGGGAGAAAATGTTTGCAATCTACCTATCTGACAAAGGTCTAATATCCACAATTTACAAGGAACTTAAATTTACAAGAAAAAAACCCCATCAAAAAGTGGGCATAGGACATGTACAGACACTTCTCAGAAGAAGACAATTACGCAGCCAACAAACATACGAAAAACTCAACATCACTCATCATTAGAGAAATGCAAATCAAAACCGCAACGACACACCATCTCACACCAGTCAGAATGGCATTAACAAGTCAAGAAACAGCAGATTCTGGTGGGCTGTGGAGAAATAGGAATGCTTTTACACTGCCGGAGGGAATGTAAATTAGTTCAACCATTGTGGAAGCTAATCCCATTTTCTTTGGTAGTTGCTGATCTTGGAATAACCCCTGACCAGTTGTGGCTACTGAGATTAAGGAGATACTTGCTGATAGCTTCTGAAAAAAGAGTGTCTGTATATGTGTGTGTGTAAAATATATATAATGTATTTATTATATATAATACATATATTTATATATAAATATTATGTATAATGTATTTTATATATAATAAATGTGTTTATTTTTTCCCTTTTTTCTTGGCTTTTTGGTGATATCCTGTAAAATAGTGATGTTTGACTCTTCAACCACATCTTGCCACTTTCAGGGAAAGGTGAAGGAAATTTCACAGATGATAATCCTGTACCCTGATATTTATAAAGCATCCTTACCCCATCCTGCAACTGCTTACTTCTAGGCTTCTTATTAAGTGAGATAACTAATTGCCTTTGAATTACTGTTAGCTGGGAGTTATGCTGTTTGTGGGCAAAAATTATCCTGTTGAATCCACTTCTTAAGGCCCAACCCTTATCACTGCTTCTGATCTCAGCAGCTGACATCACCTCCTACTTGACTAACAAGCCCCAAACTGTCCACACAGCTGGGTGGATAGTGGCACAGCTGGGTCATCTCTCATTCTATCCTGGGTCAATCCCCTTCTAGCTGGGTCATATCCCATTTGATCCCACAGCTGCGTCATATCCCATTCTATCTGGGTGGATAGTGACACATCTGGGTGTGCCACAGATGGCACTCCCTTTCTCCCATTCTATCCTCCCTTTCTCCCATTCTATCCTCCTTTTCTCCTATTTAATAGAAGGGAGTGCTTTTTCTTAGCAAAATTAACTCATTTATCTGTTAGAGACCATCAGCTTGTTCTTGGTCTAGGACATGGCTCTACCAATTCCTTTATTTCACCTGAACCTTTAATCTTTTTGTTTTATGTGCCTCCTCCTCTTCCCACTAGTGAGGGAGGGATTTCCATCTTAGGGTTGTGGGGAGGACCAAACTCATGACACTCAGCACTGTGCCTATGAGATCAACAACAGTGTATTAGTCACAAACACTCACAGCCTAGGGGAAGAGGACATCACATGCCACGCATGGGGCCACGTAGGGATTACATTGAGGGATATCATAAACAACCAGAGGCTGTGGGACGTTAGCGGGGCTTTGCAGCATCAAAGCGGGAGGTATCTTCTGGTTCCTGTAGGAGCAATGTGATGGGCTTGTTTGATATTTCTGTGGACTGGCAAAAAACTGAAGCCTGCTACTTAGGGATAAGTATTAAGTGTCCCTGGTCCCCGTGATAAGGAGGGTTGTTTGACTAGGGAATCTTGTCCAGAAAACAAATGTGAACATGTGGCTTTTTAATTCTAGGCAGATATGATCATAATCTTAAAATATACTATTTGTATCTTTAAAAACTTGTTCTTTTCCAATTTGATGAATACTTTTCTATTCTTTGAAGCAAAACTGCAATTGCTTTTGCACCAACCTAATACATCAACAGTATGTGATTCATGAATGTAATGTCTTTACCCCAAGGCCCCATGTTAGATACTGAATTTGTGATGATACACTATTGTTTTATTTTCTTGCTGAATATTCTTATGGCTAGATATTTGCACATACAGATAATTGTTTTCCTTTAGATACATTCTAGGAAACAAATTTTGTCAAAGAGTTTACAAAAAGCATTAACTACCTGCTTTCAATTGTCATACAGTTTGCTCTGATTCTGCTCTTAAAAATATTCTAGGGTTCATATTTCTGTGTATTTTTGATAACATCAAGCTTTATTCTATTTTAATTAACTCCAATGGAATAAGTTAAAGTTGTCACTCTCGTTTAAATCCTTGTTTTCCCACCCATTTACTGGCTATATATATTTCTTCTTTGATAAACTAAGTATTACTATTTTCCATTTTCCTATGTAAAGTTCATATAATTTTAAGATGAGCATATAATTTTTTTTCTATAAATAATTTTTAAAATGTCCCTGTAACATATTTAGTGATAAAATATTGGGGGATGTGGGTATTTTTAATTAAAATTATCTAGTTTTTAGTAAGAGGCCTTTCACATCTAAATATTCAGGTTTTCTTTATCTTAGGCCAGTTTTCTCCTTCCTTTATTATGCCTTCTCAGCTCACTTTTTTGAAATTTCACTTACAATGACATTTGACATCTCTGTTCTGTTACCTATAATTCTGATTGTTTCTTAACACTTTTGTATTTATTGTCTTACTCTGATTTTTCTAGGTGACTTCTTAAGATTGTCTTCTACTTTAATAATTTAAACAGTTCAGTTCCTCCACTGCACTTTTTCTGTTTAGTAATCATATCCTTATTTTCTATAGTGACTTTTTCCCCTCCTCTTCTAAATTCATAGCTGCCATACTCTCTCAGATTTCTTTGAAAGTTCAAGATTTTCTGAAGTCCTCGGGTTCTGATTCTTTCAGTAGCTTTCACAAGATATACTTACTGACTTCTCCTTTATTTATATGGATGTTTCTGTTCACTGCTCTGGTACTAACAGGTTATATTTTTCTATTTTATGTTTTTATTTCAGGACCTTTGATACAAAATCTTTTTCTATTTCAGAGAGTCAAAATGGGTGTTTTTAGAAATATATCTTTCAAGTCTCTATTTGAGTTAACAAAACTCTGCAGGACATGAAAAAAATTAGTTTTATTAAGGTTTAACTATGCCAGATCATATATCCAGGACTTTTGGTGAAAATAACGGGCAGTATTCCGCACAGTCAAGTTTGCTTCTGCACTACAAAGTTTCTTTTACATAGTTGTTATGGAAGCTTGAGTATAACTCAGCCGGTGACACCCTCTCCAAATTACTTTGTTAGTAGCCAATTGGAATATCAACCATATTTCACTTAGAGTATTCTTCACTTAGCAACACAAATGAGTGACTTCAAAAGAAGACTCTCTAGTTCTCCAAGAAGCTAGTAGATGGAGATTAGGCCTTTACCAATCGCCCCAAGAGACATCTGCACTTCTAGTGTTTTATTTTTTAAGCTAGAAGATGGTATTGTAGTTCTGCTAGGTAATAAGTGCTATTTTCTCCAAATACAGACTTTTGAATTGTGATGAACAGCAGTTCACTCAGTAATTTCATCAATCATTTCTCACCTGCGGGTATATTGCATATAGCCTTCTTCAACACTTTCCAAACATGAAACTATTCCCTGTATAGTGTCAATACACATTTTTCCCATTATTTCTTAGGATTCTTTTTCCAAATAACTTTTTTTTTTTTTTTTTTTTGTGAGATGGAGTCTCACTCTGTCACCAGGCTGTAGTGCAGTGGCACGATCTCGGCTCACTACAACCTCTGCCTCCCAGGTTCAAGTGATTATCCTGCCTCAGCCTCCTGAGTAGCTGGGACTACAGGTGCACACCATCATGCCCAGCTAATTTTTGTATTTTTAGTAGAGACAGGGTGTCACCATGTTGGCTAGGGTGGTCTTGATCTCTTGACCTCGTGATCCACCCACCTTGGCCTCCCAAATCAAATAACATTTTTTATAGATGTAACAGGTAGGTTCTCTTCTTTTTACATTAAATGAGTAGTTCACACCCTTTCCCCTAATTTCTTATCAATGACTCATTGTTTAAGTCTTTCAGTCTACTTCCTTGTTATTTTAATTACTTCCTATCTAATAACAGGTTATTACTTCTTTTCACTCTCTGTGTCAGTCAGAACAGGCTAGTTAATGCTGTATTAACAAACAGTCCCACAATCTATGGCTTTAAAGAACTAAGATGTATTTCTTATTCATGCAACATGTCCTTTGTGGGTTGGGAGAAGAATCGAGTTCACATTACACGGCACCCTGTGCTTAGTCCCAAGGTAATGAAGCAGCTGTTATCTAAACGTTCTGTCACCTAGCAGTGGAAACAAAAGGAGACATGGGGAAGTTGTCACTGGCTATCAAAGCTTTCAATGGAAAATAACACAAGTCATTTCCAATCACATTTCATCAGCCAAAACAAGTCAGGGAAACAGTCTTTAATGTACCACAAAGGGGAGAGAGGGCTGGAATATTTATGGACAGTTCTAATAACTACCACATTTCCTATCATTTCTAACCTTTAACACTATTGCCAACCCAAACTTCTAAAAATGTCCTCTTTGTTTTCCACAACACAAAATACCAATGGCCTCTTTCCCTAGCTCTCTGATTGTTTATCATAGTTTTCTCCAACTTTTCTTTTTGCAATGACCTAAGTGTAGTTGATCCCTAAATTTCTATCTTTGTTCATTTTCCATTTTATCACTTTTCCCTGTCCTGGACTGACCCTATTTGTGCTTGATTCTTACAAACACTCATCTATCTACTCAATCTTGAATTATTCATTTACCATGCATTTATCTTTAGTTTTACATGTACTATGAGACATGAGGATGAATGAAATAAAATCTTATAGGAATTTCACCGATTACTTAGGCAAATATCAAACAGTTTCAGTAAAATGTACTTTGTGTTTTAGCAGATGTGTGGTATATGTGATAAAAAAAATTGTAATTCCAGTGATTAGCATTACTAAGGAATTTGAAATCCAGAAATATTCAGGATTAAACTTAGGCTCAAAATATGAAAAGTAATGACTGAAGCTCTCAAAAGTTAAATGAAATTTTTTATTTCATTACTTCAGGGTAAAACTTGATTTTTGAATTTTCTCCAGAGGAAAACTATCATAAAGAGGACGTACCAAGAGGGGTGGCCATAGTTTATCTAATACTGCTTGTAGGGTTTACCTGGATGTGAATATATTTCTAATCAGAAAATGCGAAACTACAGACACCAAGATTTAGTCTTTTTAAAAAATTACCTAAATTAATTAGAAAATATAAGAAGTAGTTCTGAGTCCTTAGAGGTCCCACGCTATCTGTATTCACCTCTGTGTTAAATAGAACCCTACATATGGTAGTGTCTCAAAAATATTTACGGAATAAAATTAATTTACCCACTATCTTAAGAGAATTGACTTTTTCATCCTATTTTTTTACCTAGAAGTTAAAAAGAAAATCCCTCTGGAATATTAAGAAGATTCATGAAAATAATAAAGGCTACTTTAAGAGACCTAGGTTAGTGTCTTTGAGCTGCCACTGACTCTTTATGAGCAAGCCACTTAACATTGCTGTGGCTTGGTTTTCTAGAAAACTCAAATCAATGAGAAATCAATGATTTCAAACAGGAATTGAGTGGTGATCAGGATGAGTTTAAAGTAGTAACACTTTACTTTTTGTACCTTTGGATTCATGAGTGTTTGAGTTACTCAGTCTAACATTCTTAAAACCCCTAACCTCCAAAGCCAAATCCTATATATTTGTATTATTTTGAGGGAGAGAAATGATGTACAGTGGTTATAGTCAGTATGTAGAAGTCAGTCTACCCCATTCCTAGAAAAGTAGACATGTGAGTAAATATCCAAATAAACAAGGTAAAAACAAATATTTTCCCATAAAACCTGTATTGGGATTCTCTAGAGGGACAGAACTAATTATATATACACACATATACATGTATATGTATATGTATATGGGAGTTTAGTAAGTAGTATTAACTCATACAATCACAAGGTCCCACAATAGGCCATCTGCAAGCTGAAGAGCAAGGAAGGCAGTCCGAGGCCCAAAGCTGAAGAACCTGGAGTCTGATGTTCGAGGGTAGGAAGCATCCAACACAGGAGAAAGATGTAGTGTAGGCTGGGAGGCTAGCCCAGTCTAGCCTTTTCATGGTTTTCTGCCTGCTTTTTATTCCATGGCAGCTCATTAGATGGTGCCCACCCAGATTAATTAAGGGTGGGTCTGCCTTCCCCAGCCCACTGACTCAAATGTTAATCTCTTTTGGCAACACCTTCACAGACACACTTAGGATCACTACTTTGCATCCTTCAATCCAATCAAGTTATCACCCAGTATTAACTATCACAAAACCCAAATCAATCACTGGAATTTCTCAAATTCAACAAAATGTGGAAGAGGGAAAGAAGTAAGAGAGAAAGAAACGTGTTTTGATTTGTTTCCATTTCAGGACATGCAGAGTCTCTGAAATGTGTATTTTCATAAAATGAAGATCAGCTAATTGCAAACGTATTCATCCCCTCACACGTTTGGACAAACCCTTTATATGACAGGTATTCATTAAGGTCATATGCATTATTAAGCAGGCCCTATTCAAGCACCATCTGCAATGTAAAGAAAATATATATATATTTATTGAAAACAGATGACCCTCGAGGGTGTAAACTTGCAAAGTCGCAGTCTCAAACATACCTATGAGTAAATGCCCACGTATTAATTTTGAAGTTAGAGACCGTGCTTCATACTTTGAAAAAACTCAAGACCTTGAATTTGTAGGAGAGACCCGAAATGACTCTAGAGGAAGACAGCATCTTAGTCGTGTATTACATACCAGTCTTTGCAAATGCTCTCACTGGAATCATTCACTATAGCAATATTATTCGTCGATGATTAAGCCACAGACCTAATTGTCTATTAATCAAATTATCTTTCTTAACGTTTCTCTACTAATTCACCTTGGCACATTTGTTTGTTTTTATTTACTCGTTTTGAGATGGAGTTTCACTCTTGTTGCCCAGGCTGAAGTGCATTGGTACAATCTTGGCTCACTGCAACCTCCACCTCCTGGTTTCAAGCGATTCTCCTGCCTTAGCCTCCTGAGTAGCTAGGATTACAGGTGCCTGCCACCATGCCCAGCTAATTTTTGTATTTTTAGTAGGGATGGGGTTTCACCACGTCAGCCAGGCTGGTCTTAAACTCCTGACTTCAGGTGATCTACCCGCATCGACCTCCCAAAGTGCTGGGAGGCACATTTATTTAACACATTAAACTCTGGAATAATATTTTCTTTAGCAGTACTAAAGTTTAGCTTTTTAAAGTTCAATTTGTTCTTTTTTAATTATTATTTTTTATTTTTTTCTTCTTTTTTTGATATGGAGTCTCGCTCTGTCGCCCAGGCTGGAGTGCAGTGGCGCGATCTGGGCTCACTGCAACGTCCACCTCCCGGGTTCAAGCGATTCTCCTGCCTGTTCTTTACTTTTGTTGTCATCTTGGACGAAGAAAAGATGAATGACTTACATTACAAATTTGAGTAGATTTGTTTAAGGATGTAGCTAAGATTTTTTTTAAAGCTATGTTGTTTTCATGATGTACTTTGCAAAATAATACATTCCACTTGACATCTTATAATTTGATTATATAATTTTTAAAATTTGGTTTTACTTCCTTCCTTGGCTCTGGGAGGAGTGTGATTTCTTTCCCTTGCAGAATGAATATTTCCATTTAATCTATTCGAGTTTGGGCCTCTGACTTCTCAGCTTATTGTTTCTAAGGAAATGTGCAGGAAACGTCACATATCAGCTTTTGAGAGTAAAAATAATGAATGGACGTTTGAAATGAGTAAGAATTAGTCTTACCCTCTGTCCCACCTAGGCCACGTGTTTGCCTTGTGCCTCATTTCCCACAACTGGAAGCTCCCAGCTGAATAATCATATCCCAACATGCTGAGTTAATTGAAGAAAGGTGCTATATAAACACGAGGTACCATTATTATGGTCATTTTCCCAGGCCTTGGGCTTCCCCACCCACTTCCTCTAAATTTACAATGAAATAAAAAACGTAGCCTCCAAGTGGATGCAGATTTGAGAGCAATGTCTTTGGCGCCCTCTCGTGGTCGCCTCTATGTAGAAATCACTTGGGTGATGGAGGCTTAGTTGAAGGCAGAAATTCCCTTCAAGCCCGTTTAGAGGGGAAAAGATACGGTAGAGGCACATAATTCCTTTACATCAGTATTTTTAAACAAAATTATCATGTATAAAAATATCAAGCAGTCTTCACTATATTTAAAAATAACATTAGCATGGCTTCTGAATGGGAAAGGTACAAGAAATATTTTTCTTGACAACCTAGTCACTCAACAAGTTGCTACTAGGGCAAATCTTTCTATCCTGAAACTAGAGGCTACGTTATGAATGCTGGAGAATATGTGGAAGTACTTAGCAACCAGGACCTCTAGTAATCAGCCAGTACTTTATAAATGCTTCTTGAATCTGTGTATTGTCTCAAATCCACCATGATCTAGCTGGGTGAGGTCAAACAAACCATTTGCACTGGCTGACCTACAATTTCTTCATTCCTAAAAACAAAGCATTGAACCAAATTGGTGGTTTCTAAAATTATCAATTGGTTTAATCAGCTGAGCCCCTTTTTATGGATGAAATATTCCACAGAATGCAAAAATACAAAATAAAATGAAAGACTGTGGAACCATTCCACCTCAGGCTGTGTTGAGGAAGCTGAGCTTGGCCAACTTAGATCTTCATTTCCCCCAAAGTCTCTTTGGAAGCCTGATACGACCCTAGAACTGCGTGGGACACAGTTCAAAAATCATTTTTACTAGTCATCTCTATTGTTTAAGCTCTAATTTTAAAACTGCCCTAAAATATTATTTTATTAGTTTGCTACTAGGTACTTAATTTTTTTCTTTTTTTCAGACAGAGTCTCCCCCTGTTGCTCAGGCTGGAGTGCAATGGCATGATCTCGGCTCACTGCAACCGCCGCCTGCCAGGTTCATGCAACTCTCCTGCCTCAGCCTCCCGAGTCGCTGGGATTACAGGCATGCACCACCACGCCTGGCTAATTTTTTGTATCTTTAGTAGAGATAGGGTTTTACCATGTCAGCCAGGCTTGTCTTGAACCCCTGACCTCGTTATCCACCCTCCTCAGCTTCCCAAAATGCTGGGATTACAGGCGTGAGCCACCGCGCTGGCCGGTACTTAAATTTTTAACCTTTCTATTGCTCTCTAGTATTTTTTTTTTTTACTTCAATCATTAGTGTGTGCACAGAGGTGGTGAGGTTAAATAAAAAGGCACTCCCAAGCCTCCCGTGTATCCTCATAATGCTTTTGACATTTCATGAGTCTACAAATACTTCTATTTAATCACACATACTCCTGAGTATCAGATACTCAACTTGATGCTGGATTTTAGCAGGACAAAGAAGCTGATTGAAGTGTAATCCAGTGGACAGAATGTTGAAGGCTAGAAAGTACTATCATATAATATAACTGGATAAGACCAAAAAATGTATATGAATGCTGACATTTATGTGACAAAGTAGTCTACATTTTATAGCTGTTCAGAGAAAAGGGAGAGCAGTATGTTTTGCAGGAATCAAAGGACAAAGTGAGATGAGCTTAGCCTATAAGAATAGATGACCTTGGATACTCAAAAGGATCAGAGGCAGATTTTAAAAGTCTTGATAAAATGTGGGCAGGATTGAATGTAAAGAACCTAGCTTTGTGAGGCCATGGGTATGCAGGGGGACCATAGGCTTTAAAATCAATGGTTCCATTGCTTCACCCTGGCTCTACTTTTTTGTCAATGAGAGAATGTTAGTGAAGACACAACAATATGTGACACTAAATAGTAATCTATTTTCCTCCCTTAAAGGATGATACAAAGAAAAAAAAAACCTACTCTGTTCTCATATATGTACTTTTTATCATGTAAAACATAAGATTATAACATATTTACAATATAAGTTCACAAAGTATATTTAGAAAGGTTATTTAAGTTTTAACCTTTAAACAGATAATTCATTTTTAAATTTATTTTTAATACATAAATCAATGATGTTAAGTGTTGGTATAACACTTAGAAACATGAGCATATATGGGCATATGAAAAGTTTCTCACTGTCAGGTAAGCATGCCTCAGGAACTCTACTGGCTAAGTCGGTGCTGCCCTAAACAGATAGCACAAGTCATCAGCCATCACCTACCCAAGAAGTAGACTATGTCATAATATTGGAAATCTCACATTTCAAATATAAGAGATGGAACACAGCTAAAATGAGAGGTCTTTTTTTCTTATGTCACTATTCAAATACCATTTTCAGGGAACAAAAGTCAGAGAAGGTAAGAGGTAACATGAAAGTTAGCTGATTCTTATAAAATAATCACAGCTCCTAGTTGATCTTCGCCAAAATTCACCCCACCCCTCACCTATTACAAAATTGAGGGAAAAGGTGTTTCTCCTCATAAGTAAGTTGCTATTGCTGCTCTTTTTCATTTCACACCCAGGCTTATGTGTTTTCTGGCTCTGGAAGGGAGTGAGGGAGGGCAGGAAATGTGGTTTTACCTACTCTACTTCCTGCCAGGTCAGCCCTAGGAAGTGCTAAGGACCTGGAGCTGTGGGTTCAAGTCAGGTCCTGAAATCTCCCTGAATCAATTAGGTTCATCCCTGGAGAAGGAGACTTGCTGTTAATAAAATATGTATAGTCCAGACTAAGAAAGAACACTGATAGGAAACAACATCTTTCCTCACTTTGAAGTCAAGGGCAAGACAAACCGGATAATCCCGAGGATGCTGGAAAGGTATTTGAATATGAAAAGTTAGCATCTCTTCATAATTGAAAAATATTTTAGTGCACTTGAAACTAAAAAAAATTATATTTGAATAAGTAGGTAACATATTTTCTAGGGAGAAAGGACATATAACTATTGGAAAGAAGGACAGATAATTATTATTATGCAGAGGATGTACCTAACAGGAAAACAAAAACATTACTTTGACAGTTGTGGAGAATCAAGAGATTCAGTTTAAGTGAATGATTACAATACTTATAGAGAACATATATGAAATTTCATATATAACAGCCATAACAGCTTCTATTGTGAAGGGAAAAATAGTGCATTCAAAATATAATGGAATATACTCCATTCACGATAGTAAGAAAAATGAAAATGCCATAAATAAACCGTAACAAATACTTTAGACAAAACTTGAGAAGATACAATAATAGAAATGACATAATGGGGATATGGTCTATCGTCTTTCTGAAACATGTAAAGTTTCTTGGTCATCCCATTCTGATGCTGCAAGTGGTAAAAGATTATTTAACACAATTTTAAATCATGGTTACTAACTTTTAGTCCATGCCTTGAGCAGAGAATTTTGGACTTCAAAGTTTGGAGTTTTAGACTGTGTACCACTATCAAAAGCAAGCAGCTCACCTCAAATCCCTTGATGGTCTCAGACTTACATCCTCTTCCATTCACCAGCCACCCAGGCTTCCAAATTTTCTGTTTAATGGGCTCTTCATTACAGGTGACCATAGAGAGCCTATGCATGACATCACTGCGAGCTGCCAGAGAGTTCAAGCCCTTAATTGTACAAAGAATTTTTATGGCTGTCAGCACCAACGAGGCCAGGCCATAAATCCTGAATTTCTCCAACTTCTTTGCTGGAAAGGCCTACGATTTTTTTTTCCAGCACTAATTTTCGTATTAGTTTAGTCGTAAGCACAAAAGTCCAACTTAGAGCATCCAGTGTCAAAAATACATTATTGTAAGCAAAAGAATGATGAGTTGATGAAGGCAGAAAGAAATTATTAAAGGATAGTGATACCTTACAGAACCTTTTGAGATGCCAGGAAAATAAGCTTGGAGGTTACACAGGCAGGGAGAATGTCTCAAATCAGAAGAGGACACATTCTTCTGCCGCTGCTGAGATTTAGGTGACGCATTTGACTGACACTGGACACTTATGCCACTGGAATTGCAGAGACCAGTTCCTGCTTATCCTGGGTTACCTATCAGTCTATAGAGTTATTCAGACAAGTCCATCACATCCTTTTATAGGCACCAGGGAGTATCCCGTTTCTTGATGCTGTTTCTAACAGTCCTTGGTTGTGCACTTGGTTCCTGAATGCAACCTCTGTGTGGTCCTGCGTGGTGCAATGCCCTCCTCTCCCAGGCTGACTGTATGTGAGTAATAAACTGATATGGTTAGGCTCTGTGTACCCCTCATATCTCATGTGGAATTGTAATTCCCAGTTTTGGGGGAGGGACCTGGAGGGAGGTGATTGGATCATGGGAGTGGATTTCCCCCTTGCTTTTCGTGTGATAGTGAGTGAGTGCTCATGAGATCTGGTTGTTTAAAAGTGTGTAGCACTTCTCCCTTCCCCTTCCCTCTCTCTCCTGCTCTGCCATGGTAAGATGTGTTTGCTTCCCCTCCAACTTCCACCATGATTGTAAGTTTCCTGAGGCTCCCCAGCCATGCTTCCTGTACAGCCTGTGGAACTGAGTCAATTAAGCCTCTTTTCTTTATAAATTACCCAGTCATGGGTAATTCACTGACAATGTCATCTGTCCATTGTGTTGGGTGTTGTGTTTGACCATCCCCATAACCCTATGGTGAGAATTATTTCCTCATTAATAAAATGAAGAAGAGGCCAATAAAACACCTTTGTATAGTAAGATTTTGTTTTCAATGCTAAATCATAGTATAATCATTTATAAATTTTTTAAAAGTAATTAAATTTAGCATATGTAGAAGAATCCACAAAACTTGACTGAGAAGAGATCAACACAGATGTCTGTGATCAACTTCGTATGTGTGGAGACAATGGCAACTTTCCCATGACTGCAACTTAGTCAGCAGCAGGTGCAAGAATAACAAGTGCAGTACGTGATTCAATGTGGTCTGCAGCCTGTTTTAGAATGACCTGTGAACTAGGAATTATTTTTATTTATTTAAAGGGTTGTAAAAACAAGGGAAGAACAATATGCAGCGGACACCAAGTGTGGACTGCAAAACCTAATATACTATCTAACCCCTTATAGAAAAAGTTTGCTGACCTCTAATATAAAGTAGTACAGGTTTGAATGTGTTAATTACCAATAGGTATACTTTTGAGTGATTATTTGATTTATTTATTTGCAGAGATAGGTTCTTGCTATGTTTCCCAGGCTGGTCTCAAACTCCTGGCTTTAAGTGATCCTATGGCCTCAGCCTCCCAAAGTGCTGGGATTACAGGCATGAGCCCCCATATGCAACTTTAGTGATTAGTTTAAAGGTTCTGCAGCTGTCTTCATCCACTGCATCTTTTGTCACCCAATCATTTTTCATGGTACCCTAGGCCCAAAAAAATACCTTTAAGTACTACTTATTAATTAGGTACAAAAGATAAAATAAATATTTATGTCCTAACAACTTAATAGCCATTTGAAAAGGATAAACCACATAAATTCAAAGAAAAATGTTATTTTTTAATGAAGTAAAAATGACAGTTACTTAATTTGTTGAGCATGTGAACTTCTTAGGTCTGTATGATTTCGTAAAGCCCAGAGTGAGATTGGACTCTGTATTAGTCTGTTCTCATGTTGCTAATAAAGACATACCCAAGACTGGGTAATTTATAAAGGAAAGGAAGTTTAATTGACTCACAGTTCCACATGGCTCGAGAGGCCTCACAATCATGGCAGAAGGCAAAGGAGGAGCAAAGTCATATCTTCCAAGGTGGCAGGCAAGAGAGCTTGTGTAGGGGAACTCCCCTTTATAAAACCATCAGCTCTCATGAGACTTACTCACTACCATGAGAACAGCATGGGAAAGACCCGCCCTTAGGATTAAATTACTTCCCACCACATCTCTCCCATGACACATGGAAATTATGGGAGCTACAATTCAGGATGAGATTTGGGTGGGGACACAGACAAACCATATCAGACACCATCACCCTCATTTTCTGTTCTACAGTGATTCACACTTGCTTTTTTATATAGTAACTACTGAAAATCCACCTTTACAAAGATGATCTGGTGGTGAAATTGCAAGCAACTACTACTAGTACTAGTAAGGGAGGAGACCACCCCTCATATTGTCTTATGCCCAATTTCTGCCTCCAAAGAAAGAAGAAGTAAAAATTAAAAGGCAGAAATAAAATCCATAGGCAGACAGCCTGGTGCTGCGCCCCGGACCTGGTTAAAGATCGACTGCTGACCTAACCAGTTATGTTATCTACAGATTCCAGACATTGTTGTATGGAAAAGCGCTGTGAAAATCCCTGTCCTGATTACCGGTGCATGCAGCCCCCAGTCACGTACCCCCTGCTTGCTCAGTCGATTACGACCCTTTCACGCGGATCCCCTTAGAGTTATAAGCCCTTAAAAGGGACAGGAATTGCTCACTTGGGGAGCTTGGATTTTGGAGACATGAGTCTGCTGATGCTCCCAGCTGAATAAAGCCCTTCCTTCTACAACTCAGTGTCTGAGGGGTTTTGTCTGCGGCTTGTCCTGCTACATTTCTTGGTTCCCTGACCAGGAAGAGAGGTGATTAACTGATGGACGGTTGAGGCAGCCCCTTAGGCAGCTTAGGCCTGCCCTGTGGAGCATCCCTGCGGGGGACTCCAGCCAGACTGAGTGACGTGGATTCTGAGGGCACTCCTGGGTAGGCATTTGCCCTGGTGGAATGCCTCGTCAGAGCGGTGCACAGCAGGCCCCCGCAGAGGATCAACGCAGTGGCTGAACACCAGGAAGGAACTGGCACTTGGAGTCTGGACATGTGAAACTTGGTAAGACTGGTCTTTGGAACTTGCCCACTCCATTTGAGTGGAAGCATGGCCTGATCACCCACGACATGCCTGTACCGGCACTTTGGTTTTTGTTTTTGACTTGACTCGGATTGCTTGATACTTTGGTTTTGGCCTGGCTTGGATTTCTTGATACTTTGATTTTGGTTTTGATTCTGGTTTGGTGTAAACTGTAAAAGTGTGTGTGCGCCCTTTTTACCCTCTCTTTGTTTTGTGCTGTGAGTGTGGTGGTTTTTCTCGAGGAAGTGTGGGTCAGGCACAAGGTAAGCCCACCCCAGCAGGAACTATGTTGAAAATTTTCAAAAAAGGATTTAAGGGAGACTATGGAGTACTATGACACCAGGAAAACTTAAAACTTTGTGTAAGATAGACTGGCCAGCATTAGAGGTGGGTTGGCCATCAGAAGGAAGCCTGGACAGGTCCCTTGTTTCAAAGGCATGGCACAAGACAACCTGGAAGCCAGGGCACCCAGACCAGTTCCTGTACATAGACACTCGGTTACAGCTGGTTTTAGACCCCCCACCCCACAGTCGTTGAGAGAACAGCAGCATAAGCGGCTGGAAGAGGCAAGGAAAGACCAGCAGAGAGAGAGAAAGGAAAGAGACAGAGAGGAAAAGAGGCAAAGAGAGAGAGGAAGAGACAGCGAGACAAAGAGGGAGTCAAGGAGAGAGAGACGAAGAGAGAGAGAAAGAGACAGAGGCAACAGGAAAGTCAGAAAGAAAGTCAGAGAAAGAGAGATATACAAGTAGTTAAGAAAAACAACAACAACAGTGCACTCTATTCCTTTAAAAGCCAGGGTAAATTTAAAACCTGTAATTGATAATTAAAGGTATTCTCCGTAACTCTATAACACTCCAATACCACTTTGTTGTCAGCGTAAACAAGGGTGTAGCCCGAAAGCACTGAGGTCACTGACAACCTGTAGCCTTCCTATCAAAAGTCCTTAACCTATCTGCAGATGTCCCAAATGCATTCAATCTGTAGCGGCAACTGCTTTGCTAACAGAAGAAAGTAGAAAAATAACTTTTAGAGGAAACCTCATTGTGAGCATACCTCAACAGTTCAGAAGTATCCTAAGGGAAAAAAAAAAAAAAGCAAAAAGTAGGTTACTAACTTAAAAATCTTAAAGCATGGGGCTGTCCTGTTAAAAAAAAAAGATGATTTAACATTAACCACTGAAAATTCCCTTAATCCAGCAGGTTTCCCAACAGGAGATCTAAATCTTAATTACCATACATAGGTCCAATCAGACCTAGGAGGAACTCCCTTCAAGACAGGACTATAGACAGTTCTTCCCGGGTAATTGAAGGAAAAAGAAAGCCATCTATACCAATTGTAAGTTAATTTGGACTAAACAAGGTCTTACTAATAGCAAAGGATAATTGAAATCTCAAACTTACAAGGGTTTCAACAAAAGTAAAGTTTGCTAAAAGTTAACAGTGTAACATGTATTATAGTAACTTCTAATCTTGTGGCCTTAGACAGTCTAGTCCACAGACATAAAGGAAGTTTGCTTTGAAAAAGAATGGTTATCGTCGAAAAAAAAAAGGGAAAAAAAGCAGGGGCAAGACTTACATAAAAAGAATGTTATATGGTAAATTCTTGTCCTGAAATAAATTAACTGGCTGTTTAAAGAAAGAAATGTTGGTAATAAGTCAGAAAGTTAAGGCACGTCAAAGAATTGCCTGTAAAAGTCGTGAAAGAAAAAAAGTTTAAAAAAAAGTGTGTTAGAAAAAGAATTTATGCAAGAAATGTTATATAATTTAAAAGTAATTAGGCCTCCTGAATGTAAAACTATTGAAGGGACAGTTTATGTGCAAGGTGTATAAGGAAAGTGAAATATACCTTTGGTAAAGGGATTATAAGGAGGCATAAGAATGTGGACTTTTACCTACATTAAAAGGTTAAAAAATTGTTTTAAAAGTTTAAGCAAGTTTTCAAATGTTAATTGTGTGTAAATTCTGTGTGTAAACATATTAGCTAAAGTTAAAGGGGTATCACCCAGTTTTTCTGTGAACTGGACATTAAAGTAAAAACACAATGGGTTTTTCTTAAAGTACTAACCTGCTCTGTTCAACAAAGATTATAAAAGGTTAAAGAAAGGTCTCTAAAAATCTTACCTTATGGTCTGACATTAAAAATAGAATAAATATGTCTACAAAGTTTTATTAAAACTAAGTTTAACATTAATAACACACTAATATAAAGGTGAAATTTAGCTTATCTGGTATAAAAATCATACAAAAAGCATTATTAAATATAAAATGTTATTTGGCTCTCTTTGGTCTAAAAACTAATAAAAATAGGTGCTAAAGGAAATTTCTCAGTAAGAAGGCACCAAAGACTGTAAAGTCCACTGTTGATGTCCCCACATTTAAAACAAAAGGTGAATTTCTTAGAAATTATATACCTGGTTTATCTTCCACTTTCCTTTCCCTCAAAACTAAAAGTCTTTTAGCACAGATACCACCCCTAGAATTTCCATTAAACCAGTGCCAGCCTGAGGATCATGTTCTCATCAAAGGGTGGAAAGAAGAAAAACTCGAGCCAGCCTAGGAAGGACCCTACCTTGTGCTGCTAACCACTGAGACTGCTGTGCGTACAGCGAAAAAGGGATGGGCTCATCACACCCGAGTCAAAGCACCACCCCTTCCAGAGTCATGGGCCACAGTCCCAGGGGAAAAGCCTACCAAACTAAAGCTAAGAAAAATTTAACTCTTTCATCTATTCTATTACTCTTTCTTCTTTCATCGCTCTATTGCTCACCACTTAGTTATTAACATAACCAAGTCGATTTCGCCTCAAACTATTGCATTTAATGCTTGCCTTGTTATACCCTTTGGGGACTTGCCAAGTCAAAGACAGCTCTCTACTTCAGAAAAGTACCCCTGTCCCTCCTGACTCTCCTCAGACTGGGCATTAGTAAATTAGGACCATTTAATCCAGGGAAATTTCGATAAAGACTCCAGTGTCAACCAGGAGTCTTGCCCCCTGATGTAGAGCTTTTATGCCAAGTTGGTCCAACGTTCTGTGGACCACTAAAGAGCAAGAATGGACTGCCCCAACCGGTTTTTGTAATTTCCTAAAATCATACATTCATTTTACTAGAAGATCATAGAAGTTAAAGACTTTAAACACACTTTGGCAATTAAGACAGGATACCAAGATGCAAATGCCTAGTTGGAATGGATCAAATATTCCATCTGCACATTAAACAAAAGCAATTGTTATGCTTATGCGCATAGCAGGCCAGAGGCCCAGACTGTCCCCTTTCCACTAAGGTGGTCCTCCAGTCGACCAGGTGTGGGCTGCATGGTAGCTCTTTTCCAGGATTCTACAGACTGGAGTAATAAGTCATGCCAAGCCCTCTCTGCTATATCCTGAAGTCTGGCACCCTGTGGGTCAGCCCCCAAGGGCCATCCAGCCTCCATCTCACAACACTAAGTTCACTTCATGACTCTCACGACAGGGAGGAAACTTAGCGTTCCTTGGAGACCTGAAGGGATGCAGTGAGCTTAAGAATTTTCAAGAGCTTATCAGTCAGCCCTTGTTCATCGCTGAGTGGATGTGTGGTGGTATTGTGGTGGACCTTTGCTGGGCACTCTGCCGAATAACTGGAGTGGCACTTGTACTTTAGTCCAATTGGCTATCCCTTTCACCCTGGCATTTCATCAACTAGAGGGAGAAAAAATAAGACATCATAAAGCGAGAGTAGCCTCTTATGGGTCTTTTGACTCTCACATCTATCTAGATGCAATTGGAGTCCCACAGGGAATACCAGATAAATTTAAAGCTTGAAATCAAATAGCTGCAGGATATGAGTCAATATTTTGGTGGGTGACAGTTAATAAAAATGTAGATTGGATAAACTCCATCTATTACAACCAACAGCAACAAGCTTTTCATGAGTTAAAAGAAAAACTCATGTTGGCCTCAGCCCTGGGGCTACCTGACCTGACAAAATCCTTTACACTCTATGTGTCAGAAAGAGAAAAAATGGCAGTCGGAGTTTTAACCTAGACTGTGGGGCTCTGGCCAAGGCCAGTGGCCTATCTCTCAAAACAACTAGACATGGTTTCCAAAGGCTAGCCCCCATGTCTAAGGGCCCTGGCAGCAATAGCCTTGTTAGCACAAGAAGCAGATAAACTAACCCTTGGGCAAAACCTGAATATACAGGACCCCCATGCTGTGGTAACTTTGATAAATACCAAAGGACATCATTGGTTAACAAATGCTAGATTAACCAAGTACCAAAGCTTGCTATGTGAAAATCCCTGCATAACCATTGAAGTTTGCAACACTCTAAACCCCACGACCTTGCTCCTGGTATTGGAGAGCCCAGTTGAACATAACTGTGTGGAGGTGTTGGATTCAGTTTATTCTAGTAGGCCCAATCTCCGAGACCATCCTTGAACATCAGTAGACTGTGAGCGGTACGTGGATGGGAGCAGCTTCGCCAACCCCTGCACAGTGACTCTGAAGAAGACAACAAGCCCTTCTCCAGTCACACCCAGAAGCTGACTGGTCCACGCATGGCTGAAGCATGAGAAAACTCATCATGGGACTCATTTGCCTTAAAATTTGGACTTGTACAGTAAGGACTTCAGCTGACCTTCCCCAGACTGAGGACTGTTCGCAGTGTATACATCAAGTCACTGAGGTAGGACAAAAGGTTGCTACGGTCCTATTATCTTATGGTTATTATAAGTGTACTGGAACTCTAAAAAGAAATTGTTTGTATAATGTTATTCTATACAAGGTATGTAGCCCAGGAAATGACCAACCTGATGTGTGTTATGACCCATCTGAGCCTCCCATGACCATAGTTTTTGAAATAAGGTTAAGAACTGAGGACTTGTGGGGGCTCATACATGATATGAGTAAAATGTTAGCCAAAACAGAAGAAAAAGGGGTGCCCAAACAAGTCACCTTGAAATTTGATGCCTGTGCTGTCATTAATAGTAATAAGTTAGGAATAGGATGTGGTTGTCTTAATTAGGAAAGAGGCTATATGGCAGAAAATAAGTACATTTGTGATGAATTAGGGCTGTATGGAAATGAACGTGGATACTGGTCTTGTGTCACTTAGGCTACTTGGACAAAAAATGAAAAGGATCCTGTCCACCTTCAGAAAAGGAAAAGTGGCCCTTCCTGTACCAGTGGTCAGTGTAACCCCTTAGAACTAGTAATAACCAACCCCCTTCATCCTCGCTGGAAAAAAAGGGAGCATGTAACCCTAGGAATTGATGGGACTGGACTGGATCCTCAAGTAAATATTGTGGTTGGAGGAGAAGTTTATAAATGCTCTCCTGAGCCAGTATTTCAAACCTTCTATGATGAACTGAATGTGCCAGTACCAGAAATTCCACGAAAAACAAGAAATTAGTTTTTGCAATTAGCCAAGCATGTAGCCCAGTCTCTCAACGTCACTTCATGTTATGTATGTGGAGGAACTGTGATAGAAGATCAATGGCCATGGGAAGCCCGAGAATTAGTACCTACAGACCCAGTTCCTGATGAATTCCTGGCTCAAAAGAATCACCCTGATAACTTCTGGGTCCTAAAATCCTCAATCATTAGACAATACTATATAGCAAGAGTGGGGAAGGACTTCACCCTTCCTGTGGGAAGACTCAGCTGCCTTGGGCAAAAACTGTATAATAGTACTACAAAAACAGCCACCTAGTGGAGTTCAAACCACACTAAGAAAAATCTATTTAGTAAATTTCCAAAGTTGCAAACCGTTTGGAACCACCCGGAGTCCCACCGAGACTGGACAGCCCCCACTGGATTACACTGGATATGTGGGCATAGAGCTTACACCAAATTACCCAACCAGTGGGCAGGTAATTGTGTTATTGGCATTATTAAACCATCTTTCTTCCTACTGCCCATAAAGACAGGCGAACTCCTGGGCTTCCCTGTCTATGCTTCCCATGAAAAAAAAAAAAAAAAAAAAAAAAAAGCATAGCTATAAGAAATTCGAAAAATAATGAATGGCCCCCCTGAGAGAATCATACAATGTTATGGGCCTGCTACTTGGGCACAAGATGGCTCATGGGGATACCGGACCCCCATTTACATGCTCAACCAAATCATACGGTTACAATCTGTCTTGGAAATAATCACTAATAAGACCGGCAGAGCCTTGACTATTCTGGCCTGGCAAGAAACTCAGATGAAAAATGCTATCTATCAAAATAGATTGGCTCTCGACTACTTGTGAGCAGCTGAAAGAGGGCTCTGTAGGAAATTTAACCTTACTAATTGCTGTCTACACATAGATGATCTAGGGCAAGTAGTTGAAGACATAGTTAGAAATATGACAAAACTGGCACACGTGCCCATGCAAGTGTGGCATGGATTTAATCCTGGGGCCTTGTTTGGAAAATGGTTCCCAGCGCTAAGAAGATGTAAAACTCTTACAATAGGAGTTATAATAGTAATAAAACCCTGCTTACTGCTCCCTTGTTTGCTACGTGTATTTCTTCAAATGATAAAAAGCTTGTAAGCCCTTAAAAGGGACAGGAATTGCTCACTCAGGGAGCTCGGTTTTTGGAGACGTCAGTCTGCCGATGCTCCCAGCTGAATAAAGCCCTTCCTTCTACAACTCGGTGTCTGAGGGGTTTTGTCTGCGGCTTGTCCTGCTACACTAGTATAATATACCATGTTAGTCAGATTGCTAATATTATTGTGTTTGCCTGGAAAAAGTAAAATATCTTGCTTTACCCTGTGAGTTGCTATGTTAATGGGTACACAATATAAAATAATGTAAAGCAAGACACCAATAGCATAAAATGTGTATGCAAGAGGAGAGGGGAGTAAAACTGTAGAATTTTTTATGTTATTAAAATTAAGTTGTTATTAGCTCAAAATAGACCTTTGTAACTATAGAATGTTTTATATAAGCCTCACGGTAACTGCAAAGAAAATAACTCTAGTAGATACACAGAAAATAAAGAATAAAGGATCAAAGCTTACCGTCACAAAAAATTAACAAATCACAAAGACAGCAAGGTTGGAAGAAAGAAAAAATGAAAATTGAGTATAGTATGTATCTTTAAGTATTTTCCATTTCATTCATATTTTCCTATTTATGTGCATACAGTGCAAAGTTGTATTCTACATATCTTTTTCTCAATTTTTGTGGTTATTTTCCGTCTTTTCAACCTTTATTTGTGCAGCTTGCCTTTTTTCTTGATAAGATTTAGATGATTATTTTGTTACAGAATTATTTTTCATTTTTATTAATTTTCTTTTCTCTTTTCTGGTATATTTCTGCCTTTAACAGTTTCTCCTTTCATTTTCCTTCAGTTGATTTTGTTTTTTCATACTTTTGGATTTGTAAGTTTAATTCATTTATTTATTTTTAGTAAGGCTATAAATTTTTCTCTGAGCTGTACTTTAACTGTAGTCCATATACAAGGGTGACTAGATCACTATTTGGGGATACTGTGAAATTTTTGCTTTATTTCATCACCAACTCACAGACTATTTAAGACAGAGTCATTTTTATTTCCAAAAGATAGGAAGTCTTTGTTTTCTGGTGTTCTTGGTAGTTTCTAGCTTATTGATAGAATCTTTTTGAAGATGTTTTGCTATACCTGTTAGAAGCAGCTGAAACAGTTTGTGGGAAACTCATTGAGAATATTACTGATTGCCAGTAATATTTTGGCATTAATTTCAGGGTCTGACTCATTCTCACTCAGACTTTGTCATAAAAATAAAATGTGTGAAGCTTAGGACTTTTAAAAAAAATGTGAAATCAAATAGGGATTACTAAATTTAGTAATACAGGTTTTCCTTCTGGAGTGGTTCTAAAATTAATTCCAAAATAATTCCAAGACATGATCTAGGGCAGTGGTGGAATATCTTTAGAATAATTTAAAAGGGAGATAACCTCCTATGGTGGATACTTCGAAGTAAAAAACATTCACATGGATTTGCAAATGCTGCATTGTTTGAAAACATTCTCATTTTGTCAATGCAGTCTTATTCAAAATATACTAAATTTGAAGTCAGCTACTTGAGTTAATATCCTGCCTATATAACTCATCAGTTGTGTTACATTGAGCAAGTTCCAGAACTTCAGTGACTCGATATTGTCATAGGTAAACATACAGTAACAAAGACTTTCTTAAATGCATGATTTGAGGATTATAAATATTATTTATTTAAAGCACAAAGCTCAGTGCTGGCCATAATGAAGACATCCTGCAAATGGTAGTTATTCCTATACATACTGATATGGTTTGGCTGTATCCCCACCAAAATCTCATCTTGAAATCCCATGTGTTGTGGGAGTGACCTGGTGGGAGGTAATTGAATCTTGGGGGGCGGGACTTTCCTGTGCTGTTCTCCTGCTAGTGAATAAGTCTTATGAGATCTGATGGTTTTAAAAATGAGAGTTTCCCTACAAAAGCTCTCTCTTTGCCTGTCGCCATCCGTGTAAGATGTGACTTGCTCCTTCTTGCCTTCTGCCATGATTGTGAGGCTTCATCAGCCATGTGGAATTGTGAGTACTCCCTTAAACCACTTTCTTTTGTAAATTGCCAAGTCTCAGTTATGTCTTGATCAGCAGCATGAAAATGGACTAATACATGTATTGATATCAAAACCACCAAAGTAGGAGCAGAAGTATAAGGATCTTGTCCCACTCATACTATATTGTACTACTTTCAATTTTGTCAATCAGTAGATTGTAAACTTTTTTAAGGAATAGAGTTTATACATCTTCCAAAGAACCCAGATATATGATGAATATGAAATTGTTACTCAACTTTATGAATTTTTGCATTCCTATTGAGCACTTTAGATTGCTCACATAAACATTAAACTAAAAAAGCAATCTGAGAGTGCTTACATTTCTCTTATTTTGGTGTTTCACAAAAATATTTGATCACTAGGTGGCAGCAATACGTAGAGAAGGAGCCTGAAGATCTGACGTTCGCTTGCAAAAAGTTGGCTCTTCTGCACAATCACAGCCAGCCTGTCAGCCTCCCGGTTGCTGTGATGGACCTGAGTCACTTCCCATCACAAAGAGCATTTCCCAGCTGATGCTAAGGACCCAAGGCCATAGCATCTGTCTTTACCTCCTCAACAGAATGGGTAGCTTGTCATTTGGGGATTTCAAATATTTTTAGTAAAAAATGTTACTGAATAAACAGTGGTACTTTAAAAGTGCTGCCCATTGATCTTAGGAGTGTTTCTATTTCAACTCCAGTAAGCTTGTCCTCTTTCTGTAGCTACATCATAAGCTGTTTCTATAGCTGTTTCTGTAGTTACATCATGAGCCCCTGTGAGGATATTTATTTTGACCTTTCAACATTTTTTACTTACACATTCTCATCATTCTCCAAATTGAGTTATAATGGTCTATGGAAGATAATTGTTTTAACCAGTCATAACACAGAGTATAGAACTAATGGAGATTTAATTTTTTAAATTTTAGATGAATTCACAGAGTAGGTGCAAAGACAGCGCAAAGAATTCCCACATACTTTCCTGGTAAGGATATTTTACCTCTCTGTATTCCTGGTGGCTAGCTGTATGCCTCACACTATTGAATGAATGATTTAATACCAGTGGCCCTATAAAATATTGTACCTGTTAATGGACGATGAAGAATGATGTTTCAGTCAGGTTGGGCTGCTACAACCAAATATCATAAACTAGATGGCTTACCAACAAAAGAAACTTATTTTTCATGGTTCTGGAGGCTGGAAGTCCAAGATTATGGTGCCAGCATGGCTGGGTTTTGGTGACAGCTCTCTTCCAGGTTGTAAACAGCTGACATCTCTTTGTGTCTGCATATAGCAGAAAAGAAGTGAACTAGCTTTCTGGCCTCTTCTTATAAGGGCACTAATCCCATTCATGGAAGCTCTACCCTCATGATCTATTACCTCTCAAAAGCCCCACCTCTAAATTCCATCATATTGGGAATTAGATTTCAAGGAATTAATTGGTTTTAAGGACATGCCATGGTCCAGATGAAGCTTAGAAACCAGTCACTATCCAAAGAAACATAAATTTGAAAGTCATTTTCATGTGCTTCTCTTATTATCATTTCAAGACCTCTTTCACATCTGCCTATTTGCATTTTATCCCAGTTTTCAACCATTTTTACACATTTACTATTTACTGCAATCTTTACTGTGATCTTAGGTGAAACAGACATTATTCTGTTGATTTTACAGACAATTGAGGTGACAGAGAGGTTAAGTAACTACATGAGAATTAAAAAGTGTAGAAATTTAAATAGTTTGACTTCAATTTACTGTTATTTCTTCTTTGCCTCATTCTTCTTACCTCAATACAAATGTAATGAGTGCTCTATTGAAAACAAATTTTAATCAGAGGTAAGAATGAGTTAAGCCCTAAGGCTTTGCACAGCATTTAATCTGAAAGCAAGAACCTTAAATACAATCCTCCTACTTTTTGAGTAGAATGGCTCCAGCTGTCTTGGCAGGGATAACCCCTTGTCAATAACATTTCAGAGTTTAGAGATTTAAAGAATTTATTTTCACCTGACATGCATGGCATACCTGAAACCACCTTTGCAAAAATTATAACAGTGAGAAAATTATGGCAGTGAAAGGGATTTGGCCCCCTGACTCCATTTTGCTTCTAACCTCCAAGCTGCACTTGTTCATTCCTAGGCACAGGCTAAACTAACTTTGGGAGGAACTTAGTTTACAGCTTAACTTTGAAACAAAGATAATAACAGCCCTTTCCGGAAACAAGCCCCCTTCTAGCCTGGGGACCAGACTGCCTTGTAAAACTAACATATTAGCCACAAGATTAGAAATTATGATTTAGGAGTTATGAAGCTAGAGGCCACAGTATTCCAAACGTTCCCAGTTGCTCCTAGGGATAGCATCACAATGGTAAATCCTAAGATTGATGCTTGAGATGTTTTTTAGACCCTTAGTTCTGATGCAACAGCTGGCGCCAACCAGATCAGTAATCTGGCTCAACCAGTTGTGCAATCCCACGCAGGAATAGAAGGCAGCAAGAAAAACCCATTTGACCCCGTATGATTTCATCTCTGACCCAACCCATCAGCACTCCTCCACTCCCTGGCCCCCCACCAAACTATCCTTAAAAAGCCCCCATCTCCAAATTTTCTGAGAGACTGATTTGAAAAATAAAACTCCAGTCTCCCATTCAGCTAGCTCTGTGTGAATTAAGCTTTTTCTCTACTGAAATTCCCCTGTCTTGATAAACCAGCTCTATCTGGGCAGCAAGCAAGAAGACCTCATTATGTGATTACATACTTCTTGTAATAGTTAGGGCTCATTTGGTCTCAAGTATCAGAAATTCCAGACCACTTTGACTTTCACATTAATGAAATCAGTTTCTAACTTAAAGTCCAAATATGGGACTACCTTCAGGAGAGACTCAACTCAGATCCAGACGATGTTACTCAGGACCTGTCCTCACTCTCTCTTTATCCTGCTTTCTGCAGCATTGACATCTCTCTCAATGTCCACCCCTCCATTCTGCAGCCCACTCCACTTACCCCAACACAGTGCTAAGCTCTCAATTCATGGTAGCAAAATGGCTGCAGTGGCTCCAGGTGTTAACTTCAGCCTACATTATTTAAGAGTACAGAGAGGTTCTCTTCTGGTAGATCCCAAGCGAATGCTGAGATGTATCCTTTCTCTGGCCTGAATTGGATATTACACAAACCTTACAGAACAGAAGGCAGGATCTGCTGGTTGGCTATAAGCCAACCAGGGGCCATTTCTGCAACTGGGAGGGGGTGGTCCTTCCCAAGCCTCCTGCTGGATAATGATGGCAGGGTGGATTCTCCACAATCTTTTGGCAGAAGAATAGCAAAATGAATTCTGGGGAACAATTGGCAAATTATACCTCCTTCTCTGTGCCACTGTGGCTCAACCTAATACTTTGTCAACTATTACTCCTCTCTGAATTAGGAGATTTTGAGTAAGATTTATAAGAATTGACTTCTGTAGTATCAAGACCTTTTATCAGGAATCACATCGGCTATGGCTCCCAGATGCAACAGTTGTTAACTAGGTGATTTAGTTGCATTAGAAATTCTCTGAGTCAAAATTTCTTCAACAACAAAAATAATGAGTCCTAAACTACTAAATTCTTGAGAGCCTGAGATAGCAGAGGTAAATTACCTAGCAGAGAAATAATTCTCTTTTCTCTCATGAGCTACCTAAATAGGCAGCTCAGGTAGATATGGCCCAACCAGACACTAGTCCCTCCCCTACCTGAATTCTAATAGGATTTGGTGCTAAAATGCATCTTCCAGAAAACACTCTGTGCAGCTCAGCCAGGTGTGCTCAATAACTTACTCAACCTGATATAGTTATATTAGGGTTATAGCTTTTTCCACAGGAACATCAGGTAACTGCAGGAATGAAACCACCGCCTACCATCTCTCCCCCAGACAGACCAGGAAGAAGATGGCTTTTTGCTAAGAATTCACTTGGGTGTTTACAAATGATCATTTCAATAGTTTCAATGTGCCTTTATGTAACTAAGAGAATGTACATTAAGATACTTACTGCCCTATATTGTGTTTATTTCTTGGTACCTTCAAGTCTGAGGGATTGGTTTTCTGAAAACGAGGAAATAAAACCAAAATAACTAAAACTTCTATTCATAGTAAAGTTTTAACTCTAGAGCAGTATTTATGAACTGGGGAGAATTCTCCTTAGGTGATATTTGGCAATGTCTGGAGTCATTTTTGGTGGTCACAAAAGCACAGGGGTAGTCATACTGACACCTAGTGGCTGGAGGCCAGAGGAGCTGCTGAATATTCTACCATGCACAGGGCGTCCCCTGACAACGAAGAATTATCTCTCAGTTCAAGAACGTCATGGTAGATTATGGGACAGAAAAACATACTTATTTTCATTCTTAGGGCTCTACATTCTATAATATGTGAGATTTGATATTTGTCCTTCTGGAAAGATGTGTGTGTGTGTGTTGGGGGGTGGGTTACTTGTGATTAGTTACTTGTTGGAGAATAAAGAGTATAAGTCACTGGAAAAGATTTTGATTTAAGTTTGAAATGTCACTGGCTTCCCTAAGCCCGTTTATAGAAGGAGTTAGAGATCCAGACCAATGTTTTCCTCCTGATTTGCCAAATATATGAAATTTTGTAAATTATACATGTGTATTTCCAAATATAATTCAGACTGGGAAAAATCCACTTCATGAGGGAGGAACGTGCATTGTGGGGGTGATGGTGAAGCCCAAAACGCAGAAAGAGAGTCACATGGCAGAATTTAGAAGGAAGGGTCAATTTCACAAAGAAGCACAAAGGTAAGGACTCTAGGCAGGGTGACCACACATGCCAAGTGCCCAGGAGAGTTCTAAGTTATACCCCTTGTCCAGATGGCTAATCATAGTGCCCTCTTTCATCCTAACCATGGAGCAAGCTTAGGCACTGGGGTGAATACGTATGGCGCCTACTTAGGGAAGTAGTCTATTTCTTGAGTTTCTTGCCATAAGAATAAAACTACAGTTTTAAGTACTTGCTCTCCTAGGTTGTTATTCTTATTTTACTTAAGCCTTCAATAAAATCTGATATACTTACAAATTTGTAAATGGAGAATAGAAAAACAAGCCTGGCTGTCTCACCTTCATTGATAAGTAGCAGCTGGTTGCAGAGTTTAATGACAAGAGGCAAAGCTGGGAGAATAGAGCGGTAGGAAGGAGCTTGGTGGGCAAATAGGAAGGATTCTTTTGAATTAAGTTCTTTTGATTGGGGACATAAAAAGATGATTTAGTTATAAAAATTTCTTTGTACCTTAAGCTCACTTTCTGTGCACTTCTTGGCTCTGTTTATGTCTTATTTACTTATTTGTAGTCTTCATTCCCTGAAAAACTCCAATTTATCCCTGCCTGAATTTTTGGATGCTATGCTTCTTCCTTCAGGTGAGATGACTTTTTAGTTCTTGCGTGTCTACTTGGCATTTTATTTGCTCTTCATATAATTCTTGACTTTAGTTTTGTTTCATGGCCTAATTTTCTAAGTTATGCATCTAGTTACTACTCATGTTCCTCCTTGGATCATAGGAAAAAATAAAAGCAGAGTCCTATCTGAGTTTGTGTGGTTGATATAAAAGAGAAAATGATAATTGTATTTCTATATGGGTCCAAGATCTGAGAATGCATCTGCCAGGAAAATAGATTTTGATGGAGGTGCGCCAGGCATAAGCAGACGGAAAACCAAAAAAATGAATTTATGTCCAAAGAACAAATAGAGGGCGAAGTAGCTTGAAGCAGGATGTTCTCACACCTGGCTTGTCACTGGATTTTCTGTAGAGGTTTATAAAATATGGATGCCATGGCCCCATCATGGACCTTTTCAAATGAAAATCATCCAGACTGGAATCTGAAAACCTGTATTTTTGAAGAGTTCTAGATGATGGTGATGACCAATCAGGTTTGAGAAGCTGGCCTCTGGGGATTTCTGGTGAATAGCTGGCTTGCAGGCATGGCTACACTATGGGTCCTACCACCTTTGAGGATAGGCTTATGGACCCTGAGAGATTCAAGATGCATTTTTGACTCATGAGTTTTGCTTAGGCCCAGCCTAATTTGTATCCATATACCCTCCTGTACTCCAGCCTGTTACTATTGCTTCTGTTCCTGACTTTATTAGAGTACTGACTTAATATACAGACCCTATCAATTTGGACTGGATCTTTATTTCCCTTGGCTTATTCTAGTGGTACAAAAAGAGATTAATCATTTACATTTGACACAATTATATACAATATGTAAATATATATAGTATGTAAATATATAGTATGTAAATATATATACATATATATTTTTTTTTAAGTAAAATCTGTGCCACAAGGAAGGAGTGGTTTCCAAGCCTGTGAGCCTTCTAAGTATTGGCATGTCAGTTTTTGTTACTCAGCTGCTTCTCCTGAGTGGTTTGGCTCATCTCATTATTTGTTGTTAAAGATTTTTGAACTGCATGACATATGTAGAATGATTTTCAAAAAATTGGCCAATTTTACACAATGTGTGGGACCTCAGTTTAAAAAGGATCGTGTCCCCAATCCATACATGGTATGTGTCTCAGTCTCCAATTCTTGGCTTTTTATAAAAATTTAAACATTGTTATTTGTTTTCTGTTTATCTCATTTTCCTCATTTTTAAAGAATATTTTTCTGTTGTTAAAAACACCTTCCTGTTATTAGAAGCATCAATGATTACAGCAATAGTATAGTCTTCCCACAGTTCCTTCTGATTTAGGTAAATGTAGTATTCCTTGGGGGCCCTGCTATATACTAAGTGTAAGGTGTACATGTATTTAAATAGATAAACACAAAGTCTCATTGCCAAGTCTATCCTGCAGACTCTGGCTGAGCGATGGATGAAAGGGGTATGCAGACACAGGTATTTTGTGTGAGCGTGGCTAGGGGACTGCTCGGCTTAGAGACACTGAAGACAGAGTGCAGCTTTGATAAGCTGGAGTGGCTTATGTTTATTCAGTGCAGATTTAATGACAAAGGCCTGGAGCCAGCACAACCTGTGGATAATTAATATTGTTATCCCCCCACTTACAGTGAGCAGTCAGGCATGTGGATGATCAAAGTTCAGTTTCCAGACAACATAAGTAAATAAACTCCTTTACATTCCCTTGCACCTACTTCTTGCCCTCTGCCTCAGGGTAGGGGAATTAGTTGCCTTCAGCTTTTATTCTCTCCCCAAGCTTTGCAAAACCTTCCGGCCTTCCAAGAAGGTTTGCATCTTACCGTATAACTTTTCCCACCACCCTGACCGAGCTCCTACATCTTATAATTTTAAAAGTTAAATATAAAAGCTAATCTCAAACCTGGTGAAAAGTAGGCTTGGAGTGTGTATCATTAAGTAGATTCTGAGATGGCACTGATACATTAGTTATATGAATTAATATGTAAAAATATAAGCTTACTCAAAGCATCTCAGGATCATATTCTTGGAATTTGGTATACAAATATGTCTATATGAGGTAACAATGAAACTCCAAGGTTTTCAATAGTATTCTATACCTGGTGTAGTATTCAAATATAACTGGTACCTAGCAAATTTATTATATCATGACCTTGCTCCAGTATCATCCTTACATGCTCATTATCCACGTGACAAGAATTAAAAGTATTTAGCTCAATATTTTCGGCAACTTTCACAATCTGCTGTACTCACTCTTTCAAGCCTCATTTTTCTCCAGGCTGCTCTATGAACCCTGTGCTTCATCTGAACTGACACAATTTTCTCATTCCCAAGGAAAATACCTTGCTCACGATTCTCCACTCTTCAGAAACGGGAACCAAATTCTGCTTCATGTTTCTGAGTCCTACTTATAATCGAACACCCAGTATCTTAGTCTGTTTCATGTTGCTGTAACAGAATACCACAAGTTGGGTAATTTATGGAGAGAAATAATTTAGGGAGAACAGAGCTGGGGGGGAGGTGTAATTTATGGAGAATGGAGGCTGGGAGGTCCAAGGTTGAGGTGCCCACCTCTGGTGAGGGCCTCCCCATGGCAGAAGGTGGAAGGGAAAGAGAATGCACGTGAGAGATACCAAGAGAATAGAGAAGGGGGCCAAACTCATCTTGCATCAGGAACCCACTCTCAGGATAAATAACCCACTCCCATGATAACTAACAAACTCCCATGGTGACTAAACCTCTCCCATGATGAAGCATTAACCCATTCATGAGGGCTCTGCCCTCATGACCTAATCACTGCTTATAGGTCCCACCTGTCAACATTTGCATTGGGGATTAAGTTTTTCACACATGAACTTTGGGAGACATTTGGGGAATTTGGGGAACATTCAAATCATAGCACCCAGTTTACATTGCACCTGAACCCAAAAGCCTTTCTCAAGCCCCCAAACCAAATGTTATTTTCCAGAATTTCATTAGAATTGTAGGCCCATTTCATTTTCTTGGGTCTTGATGTACACTGCCTGCATTGCCAGACACCTTTTTTTTTTTTTTTAAATTGTTTACATCTTGTTATTTCAGCTTTCTTGAAAATAACTAAGCATAGAAACTTGGATGTTTGCCTCTTTTGTATTCTCTCATAGCACACAACCGGTGCCTTTCACACTACAGTCAAATACGTATTTAACTGGTTGTACACCCAAAAGAAGTAGAAATAATGTAGCTTTAATTGGATTTCTAACTGCTTATTTATAACAGCAATTTTTTTAATTTCTGAAGAAAACCATGTTGATTTTTATTTCATTTTTTTTGTTTTTATAATATCTTTGGATAACTTCTGAGTTTTTTTCAGTTGATTTTAAGAATCCTTCATTTTAAATGTTCAAGCATAATTTTTAAAGGTGTTAAATAGTAATTTGGGCTAAAAAATTAGGCTTTGTTGATTGGGTCAGTTCCTATACTGAACTTAGGAAGAAAAAAATCAATAGTTTTCCTAGAGCTTCTTGTTAAAAGTACAATAAACACTCCCAGAATTGTGAAGAAGTATAGCACAGTCAAGTTTGTTTGCCCAGGAGCCAAAAAATTAAAGGAACATATGTTTGGCAAGTTAGTGGGATGTCAGATAATGGGTTTAAATGATCATAGGAACATCTTTGCTGAATTTTCCAGAATTCAGAGGTTCCCAGATGAATGAGACTGGGATCAAGGGACTAAGGGAATGAGCAGAGCCTGTAATTGTGGTCATTTATTCTATGTTGCTTTACACTTACCATAATTGACTCTTCTGTAACAAACAGTCATCTGCTATGTAATATTCCATTACCTACTTGGAAAGTAAAAACACCTTTCTAGGATTGTTCTAGTATATTAGAACCAATCACCCCAGTACATTCTGCCTTCAGAGTCAATTAGTACCATCAAGACATTACATATATCTCTAACCTAACACTCTGTCAATACCAAGGTGATATTTTCTAACTGTTTTTAACTTACCTAAATAACCTGAGAGAATCAGATAGATGTACAGGGATCTGGCTTTCCCATTCAGAGTCATCAGGAAATAATTCAGCATTTATTTGTGTCACTCTAAGAATTCTACTCTCAAAAATAGAAAAAAAACATGGTTGAAATAAAAAAATGTAACACAAACTTATCAAAGATAATTTGAAAGCAAAAAAAGTAATTAAAAAAAGGAAAGAAACATCTTATTCCCATCCATATTTAAGGGCCACTATTCATGTTTTGTTGTAATTTCAGTTTTTCTTAGAACATATAACTTTTTTATTCAGAATTGAGATCATACAGTGCTAATTTGTAACTTGCTTTTAAATTTAGCAACACATTATGAATAGCACATCATGTTATACATTACATGATATTCTTTTTTTATTTTTATTATACTTTAAGTTTTAGGGTACATGTGCACATTGTGCAGGTTAGTTACATATGTATACATGAGCCATGCTGGTGCGCTGCACCCACTAACTCGTCATCTAGCATTAGGTATATCTCCCAATGCTATCCCTCCCCCCTCCCCCAACCCCACCACAGTCCCCAGAGTGTGATGTTCCCCTTCCTGTGTCCATGTGATCTCATTGTTCAATTCCCACCTATGAGTGAGAATATGCGGTGTTTGGTTTTTTGTCCTTGTGATAGTTTACTGAGAATGATGATTTCCAATTTCATCCATGTCCCTACAAAGGACATGAACTCATAATTTTTTATGGCTGCATAGTATTCCATGGTGTATATGTGCCACATTTTCTTAATCCAGTCTATCATTGTTGGACATTTGGGTTGGTTCCAAGTGTTTGCTATTGTGAATAATGCCGCAATAAACATACGTGTGCATGTGTCTTTATAGCAGCATGATTCATAGTCCTTTGGGTATATACCCAGTAATGGGATGGCTGGGTCAAATGGTATTTCCAGTTCTAGATCCCTGAGGAATGGCCACACTGACTTCCACAATGGTTGAACTAGTTTACAGTCCCACCAACAGTGTAAAAGTGTTCCTATTTCTCCACATCCTCTCCAGCACCTGTTGTTTCCTGACTTTTTAATGATTGCCATTCTAACTGGTGTGAGATGGTATCTCATTGTGGTTTTGATTTGCATTTCTCTGATGGCCAGTGATGATGAGCATTTTTTCATGTGTTTTTTGGCTGCATAAATGTCTTCTTTTGAGAAGTGTCTGTTCATGTCCTTAGCCCACTTTTTGATGGGGTTGTTTGTTTTTTTCTTGTAAATTTGTTTGAGTTCATTGTAGATTCTGGATATTAGCCCTTTGTCAGATGAGTAGGTTGCGAAAATTTTCTCCCATTTTGTAGGTTGCCTGTTCACTCTGATGGTAGTTTCTTTTGCTGTGCAGAAGCTCTTTAGTTTAATTAGATCCCATTTGTCAATTTTGTCTTTTGTTGCCATTGCTTTTGGTGTTTTAGACATGAAGTCCTTGCCCATGCCTATGTCCTGAATGGTAATGCCTAGGTTTTCTTCTAGGGTTTTTATGGTTTTAGGTCTAACGTTTAAGTCTTTAATCCATCTTGAATTGATTTTTGTATAAGGTGTAAGGAAGGGATCCAGTTTCAGCTTTCTACATATGGCTAGCCAGTTTTCCCAGCACCATTTATTAAATAGGGAATCCTTTCCCCATTGCTTGTTTTTCTCAGGTTTGTCAAAGATCAGATAGTTGTAGATATGCGGCGTTATTTCTGAGGGCTCTGTTCTGTTCCATTGATCTATATCTCTGTTTTGGTACCAGTACCATGCTGTTTTGGTTACTGTAGCCTTGTAGTATAGTTTGAAGTCAGGTAGTGTGATGCCTCCAGCTTTGTTCTTTTGGCTTAGGATTGATTTGGCGATGTGGGCTCTTTTTTGGTTCCATATGAACTTTAAAGTAGTTTTTTCCAATTCTGTGAAGAAAGTCATTGGTAGCTTGATGGGGATGGCATTGAATCTGTAAATTACCTTGGGCAGTATGGCCATTTTCATGATATTGATTCTTCCTACCCATGAGCATGGAATGTTCTTCCATTTGTTTGTATCCTCTTTTATTTCCTTGAGCAGTGGTTTGTAGTTCTCCTTGAAGAGGTCCTTCACATCCCTTGTAAGTTGGCTTCCTAGGTATTTTATTCTCTTTGAAGCAATTGTGAATGGGAGTTCACTCATGATTTGGCTGTTTGTCTGTTGTTGGTGTATAAGAATGCTTGTGATTTTTGTACATTGATTTTGTATCCTGAGACTTTGCTGAAGTTGCTTATCAGCTTAAGGAGATTTTGGGCTGAGACAATGGGGTTTTCTAGATATACAATCATGTCGTCTGCAAACAGGGACAATTTGACTTCCTCTTTTCCTAATTGAATACTCTTTATTTCCTTCTCCTGCCTAATTGCCCTGGCCAGAACTTCCAACACTATGTTGAATAGGAGTGGTGAGAGAGGGCATCCCTGTCTTGTGCCAGTTTTCAAAGGGAATGCTTCCAGTTTTTGTCCATTCAGTATGATATTGGCTGTGGGTTTGTCATAGATAGCTCTTATTATTTTGAAATATGTCCCATCAATACCTAATTTATTGAGAGTTTTTAGCATGAAGGGTTGTTGAATTTTGTCAAAGGCTTTTTCTGCATCTATTGAGATAATCATGTGGTTTTTGTCTTTGGCTCTGTTCATATGCTGGATTACATTTATTGATTTGCGTATATTGAACCAGCCTTGCATCCCAGGGATGAAGCCCACTTGATCATGGTGGATAAGCTTTTTGATGTGCTGCTGGGTTCGGTTTGCCAGTATTTTATTGAGGATTTTGCATCAATGTTCATCAAGGATATCGGTCTAAAATTCTCTTTTTTTGTTGTGTCTCTGCCTGGCTTTGGTATCAGAATGATGCTGGCCTCATAAAATGAGTTAGGGAGGATTCCTTCTTTTTCTATTGATTGGAATAGTTTCAGAAGGAATGGTACCAGTTCCTCCTTGTACCTCTGGTAGAATTCGGCTGTGAATCCATCTGGTCCTGGACTCTTTTTGGTTGGTAAGCTATTGATTATTGCCACAGTTTCAGATCCTGTTATTGGTCTATTCAGAGATTTGACTTCTTCCTGGTTTAGTCTTGGGAGAGTGTATGTGTCAAGGAATTTATCCATTTCTTCTAGATTTTCTAGTTTATTTGCGTAGAGGTGTTTGTAGTATTCTCTGATGGTAGTTTGTATTTCTGTGGGATCAGTGGTGATATCCCCTTTATCATTTTTTATTGCATCTATTTGATTCTTCTCTCGTTTCTTCTTTATTAGTCTTGCTAGTGGTCTATCAATTTTGTTGATCCTTTCAAAAAAGCAGCTCCTGGATTCATTAATTTTTTGAAGGGTTTTTTGTGTCTCTATTTCCTTCAGTTCTGCTCTGATTTTAGTTATTTCTTGCCTTCTGCTAGCTTTTGAATGTGTTTGCTCTTGCTTTTCTAGTTCTTTTAATTGTGATGTTAGGGTGTCAATTTTGGATCTTTCCTGCTTTCTCTTGTGGGCATTTAGTGCTATAAATTTCCCTCTACACACTGCTTTGAATGCGTCCCAGAGATTCTGGTATGTTGTGTCTTTGTTCTCGTTGGTTTCAAAGAACATCTTTATTTCTGCCTTCATTTCGTTATGTACCCAGTAGTCATTCAGAAGCAGGTTGTTCAGTTTCCATGTAGTTGAGTGGTTTTGAGTGAGTTTCTTAATCCTGAGTTCTAGTTTGATTGCACTGTGGTCTGAGAGACAGTTTGTTACGATTTCTGTTCTTTTACATTTGCTGAGGAGAGCTTTACTTCCAACTATGTGGTCAGTTTTGGAATAGGTGTGGTGTGGCGCTGAAAAAAAATGTATATTCTGTTGATTTGGGGTGGAGAGTTCTGTAGATATCTATTAGGTCCGCTTGGTGCAGAGCTGAGTTCAATTCCTGGGTATCCTTGTTGACTTTCTGTCTCGTTGATCTGTCTAATGTTGATTCTATAATGTCATTTAAATATTTACATAGTATTCCATTATCTCACTAGTCCTCATTTTAAATAACATTTTAATAACTATTCTTCCATTTATAACTATTACAAACACTTCTGCCATATCTTTATTCCCATTTTTCTGCATTCATATTAACTTCCTATTATATTGTATCAGATAAATAAATTCTCTGTTCTCCTTTTCCTTTAATGCATATACTTCTCCTCTGAGTTCTAAAAAAAATGTTTCTCAAGCTTGCTTTCTAATTCCCTCTCGTATCCAATCTAATGCATCCTTCCTTCAGTGCACTTCAGTAGATATTATATTTTTCCTCTCTAGAAATTTCCTTGAGATTTTCTCTTCTCCCAGAAAATTATGGTCTAATTTTAGGATGTAATAGTTGCTCAGATAACCCAATGGACAAAAATTAAATATTTGCTAACATTTTCTTCTCTGTCTTACAGCATATCTGTTTCATTGAGGGCTATTTGTTGATGCCGCAATTCAACTTTGTTCTTTAAGTACGTTTTTCTTTAAGTATTTTCACGAGTAATTCATAAATAGGTGAGTTCATTCAGATTAATAAGAGGAAGAATAATTATTACTAAATGTTAATTATTCAGTAAATTTTGTAAAGTCTTTCATTAACATGGCTTTTAAATACAATATTAGAAATAGTTTTCAATAGGCAAAACTTCTTACAGAAGAAAGCAAGAAGTTGATTTTATTTTGTCAGAACCTTCTTCCAGTTTCAAATCTGTCCTGTTTTAATCTCAAGACATTCAGTTGCTTTTAAAAAATTATAACTTTGGGTACAGATTTGTAAAACCTATTAATGGCTAATTTTTCATTAGCTACCAATTTCTTGAGGTTCTTTTTTTTTTGTGGGGATAGGGGTCAGGGATGTGTGTGTGTGTGTGAGGGTGTATGTGTGTGTGTTTCCTCCCAGAAGTGTAAGAGGGAGTGGGAAGGAAAAAGGGGCAGGAGCAAAGGGAGTGAGTTGTTAAGAGAAGCTCTGGTAAACAGTCTCAACAAGAGACATAGTGTTTATATTGACATCACCGGGGATGGTAGCATTTAAAATAAAGTGAATGAGGAGAACAAGAAGTGACTTGGCAAGCAATTATAAGAAACAATGAACCAAGTTATTCAATGTAATACAAACTTATCATAGATAATTTGAAAGCAAGACATTAGAAAAAAGAAAAAACATCTTTCTTATTCCTATCCATTCATACTTTGTTATAATTCCAGTTTTCTTAGAATATATAACATAAACTTTTTATGCCGAATTGAGAGAGACTACACAATGCTAATATATAATTTGCTTTTAAATTTAGTCACACATTATGAATAGTATAACCCACCAAATTATAACCCTTTGGGGCAAGGCAGATTTGATGCATGTAACTAAAGAGGCCTGTTACACCGGGGCATTGGTTGCTAGTGATAGTTTATGGCCTACCAACAACAAAATGTCTCATCCAGTTTTATTAAAACTCATTTAAAGAACTTCTATTACTGCCATATCTTATGTATTACTACCCAAATAAGACGTACAGAAAGTTTTTTTCAATTATTGGAAAAACAGGATACATGTTATTTTGCCAGCAGCTGAAAGAACCACCAAATAAAAGTTATTATATTGACCTGTTCTGAGTCATGTATTCATTTATTCATTCATTCATTCAGTGATGAGTTAGTCAATTCACTAAAAGAGTAGACACTATGTTAAATAAAACTTTAAAGGATTAGAATAATCCACTAAGACATTTTGTTCAACAGTACTGGCAACATATTATAAATTGAAGTCTAAAAACTGTTCACCAAAGTGGCTGAAAATGGCTTTTTCTTCCTATCCAAGTCAGTAATTTGTACTTAGAACCAAAATGCTAGGTCCAAGTTACAACAGATTACAGTTGGATATGAGAAAATGGTTTATAGAAATCAGTGGAGATTTGTTTCTCTTCACTTTCTGCAAAGGTTCTACATAAATCTGAAATGGTTTCACTTGTGTCTTTTATGATGATCAGGTTTCTCTTTAACATGACTAAGTCCACTTTGGATTGTTCATTATAGATTCCAAATAAATATTTATTGTTAAGATGACTAAATTGTAATATTAGATCTTGATGTTGTAGACTTGGACAGTGTCAGAGAAGCCTATACTTGAACCTTCCTAAATCCTCCTCAAAGTGTTGGTAAACTTTTCCTGTAAGACAACTTATTCTTAATGCACTACAAACCAGATTTTCTTAGATTTTTGTTTTCAATTTTCCAGTGGGTGGCTTTCTCAGACAAGCTTAATGAATAAGCTTTTGCTGTATTTCAACATTTATCAAAAATGAGTCACTGCCTATTATAAAATTATTTGACAATACCCAGGGAAAGAGTTATAATGATGAAACAAGAAAATGGGAACAATTTACTCAAGGAGAAGGGAGGATTTACAAAAAGAAGTGAAGAAGCAGAGAAGACAATCATCTAAATGGAAAATTCTTCCTAACCGAGGTATTTTAACCAAGTGGACTTATGAACTGAAAAGCTGAGATCTGTGATCTTCAAGCCTGGCTGAATCTTAGAATCACTTGGGGGAGTTTTTAACAAACACCAAAGTCTGGGTTTCTCCCCTGGAGTATATGATTTAATTTGCTTGGGGTGACGTCTGAGCATTGGTGTTTATTAATAGCTCTCCAGGTGACACTAATGGACAGAGTTGAGACCACTAGCCTTGATCATTGTCTCAACTGCCCATATGAAATATACTGTATTTCTACAGAAAGTGTGGATTATTGATCTTTAATTTCTTTCGAGTTCCAGAAACATTGCAGTTAGAGGTTAAACACACACAGGCACAATAAAACATCAAGCTGTCAGATCTTTAAAGCCAAAGATAGGGTTTGGTTGTTAACACAGTCTTTAAATGCCATTGTTAATCACTGATCTTTAATAAAAATAAAATAGTGTAGCTTATTCTAAGATTAAACGTTAGCCAAAACTGTTAACTTTAGGAATATAAATAGGAATTGGCAAATTCTTTGGAAATAGCTGTCCGGTATTTTACTTCGTTCCTCTTGAAGGTGAAAGTGGTAACACATGAAGAGTGATGTAGGGACGTAGGGTGATGTGCAGCCCTTATCAGTATTTTCCTCCATGCTGAGAAAGCTGCTACAGTTGGAAGTAGTTGGGCCAGGTGTGGTTGATGAGTCCTAGGAAATATGTCTATAAGCTCCACAATTGAGGAATAAAAAAATTGTGTGGGAATAGGGCTGCATGATTCAACACAATAAGGAAGAAAGTAGAGTCTCCTCAAAAATAGCAAATCTTTTTTTTGCTAAGTCTTGATTACTTACTTTTATTAGTTATAGTATTAATACACTTACAGGGATTAGTTGGAAGTCATCTCTGAACAAGAATGGAACATTGGGTAGCAAAGTCCAAGCAGAAGCACTACTTCCACCAACATATCTGAAACCACAGTGCAGACATAGCCCCATTTCTTTCTGTGTTGCCTTCCCCCTCCCAACTGTTAACATGACTGGACTTCACAATATCCTACTCCCAAATCTTACTGACACTTGAGGTTGCAGTCCTTTCTTCCTTCTGTATTTCCACTTAACTGGAATCTCTTTCAACCATTGTCAAGGTGCCTAACAAATATCCCATTAAAATTTTGGCTTATCTGATTCATACTTAATTTTTGTTAACTTTAGTTCCTTTGTTTGTGAAGGAGGAATATTACTTGTCCTATAGTTTTTTATTGTTATTATACTTTATTATACTTTTAGTATACTATGTTATACTTTGAGTTCTGGGATACATGTACAGAATGTGCAGGTTTGTTACATAGGTATATGCATGCCATGGTGGTTTGCTGCACCCATCAACCCATCATCTATGTTAGGTATTTCTCCTAATGCTATCCCTCCCCTAGCCCCCCACCCCCCAACAGGCCCCGGTGTGTGATGTTCCCCTCCCTGTGTCCATGTGTTCTCACTGATCAACTCCCACTTATGAGTGAGAACATGTAGTGTTTGGTTTTCTGTTCCTGTGTTAGTTTGCTGAGAATGATAGTTTCCAGCTTCATCCACGTCCCTACAAAGGACGTGAACTCATCCATTTTTATGGCTGCATAGTATTCCATGGTGTTTATGTGCCACATTTTCTTTATCCAGTTTATTATTGATGGGCATTTCAGTTGGTTCCAAGTCTCTGCTATTGTGAACAGTGCCACAGTAAACATATGTGTGCATGTCTCTTTATAGTAGAATGATTTATAATCCTTTGGGTATATACCCAGTAATGGGATTGCTGGGTCAAATGGTATTTCTAGTTCTAGATCCTTGAGGAATGGACACACTGTCTTCCACAATGGTTGAACTAACTTATACTCCCACCAGCAGTGTAAAAGCGTTCCTATTTCTCCACATCCTCTCCAGCATCTGTTGTTTCCTGGGTTTTTAATGATCGCAACTCTAACTGGTATAAGATGATGTCTCATTGTGGTATCTCAGTGATGATGAGCTTTTTTTCCATATGTTTTTTGGCTGCTTCAATGTCTTCATTTGAGAAGTGTGTTCATATCCTTTGCCCACTTTTTGATGGGGTTGTTTGTTTTGGGTGAAGGATATATCCTATAGTTTTTACTAGAACAAAAAATTTGATTATTTTATGGGAAAGTATACTGTAAACATTTGCTACTCAACCTAGAAAAATTCACAGGGTTTACTTTCTTTTCTTCTACCACCAAGCATGAATGCGGTATGCATTTCACAGATGCTTCTCCTATTGGAATATTCAATGCCAGGATGTACTCATTGCTGTCCCATAATTATTTCAACTTTTGTGGCCTCCTTGTTGCGTTGTCCAAATTGCTGTTTCATAACTTTTCTACTTTCTTCAAATCTCTACTTTTCTCCCATTTCAGCTGCTGTAAGTAGATGGTCTGCTCTCTATTTGTGGGTCCATCTGATGGGATGTCCCTTTAATGTTTCTATATTTTATCCACATATTTCCCTAGTCTTTCATCCTTCTTATCTCTCCTTGCTCCCACCAAAAATTTCTCTTAAAGATGAACTTGACTGAATTCTATCTCCTCCTTCTGTGTAACCTACTATTTCATTACCCGCTCTCTGTCCAGCCTCCTCAATCTCTATTTATTGATTTGCCGCCTTCAGAAACATTCTGTTTTCACCATCCTAATATAAACTCTCCTTCACCCTGCTTCTAGTTATATTACCATCTCTCTCTTTCCCTCTCTCGCTTTTTTTTTTTTTTTGAGATGCAGTTTTGCTCTTGTTGCCCAGGCTGGAGTCCAATGGCACAATCTCGGCTCACTGAAACCTCCACCTCCTGGGCTCAAGCAATTCTGCCTCAACCTCTCCAGTAGCTGGGATTACAGGTGCCTGCCATCACGCCCAGCTAATTTTTGTATTTTTAGTAGAGACAGGGTTTCCCCATGTTGGTCAGGTTGGTCTCAAACTCCTGACCTCAAATGATCTGCCAGCCTCAGCCTCCCAACGTGTTAGGATTACAGGCATGAGCCACTGCGCCCAGCCTACCATATCTCTCTTTTACTAGTATCCCACATCTTCTTAGTAGCATCTTCTCATCCTTTTTTGCTTTTACCTCTTATCTCCCTTTGTCCCCTTTTCAAGCCTCATTTTCTGTGACCTCTTGGCTGCATTTTCCTCAGTTAACAATTCCTACCTTTATGATGCCAGCATTCCCTTTGTCCTCTGAGACAAAGGCTGCTCTCATTTGTGTCTTGCATTTCACTCTTTCAGTGACTCTTTTATTCTTCCTTAGCCTCTAAGTGCGATTTTACATACATCCATTCCATGGCTATCTTCTCTTCCTACAATTTCTCCCATAAGGCCATAATCCATTTCTACCACTTGTAATATGTACATAACTACGAAATTTGTGTGTTCAACACCACTCTCTTGAAACCCATTCTTGCATTTTCAGTTGTTTGGTGGTCACACCCACCAAACTCATATTTAAAACTGAACTCATTTTGTTTCCCTCAAGCACATTCATTTTCCAGTACTTTTTGTTTCTATTAATGGCATTATCAATTACCTAATAATGCTTCAATCTCAATCACCCACTCAGCCATATTTAGTCTAAATGCAATTAGATTCATATTTAAAAATTATTTAATCAGTCTGGCCCATGCAATAACTATTAGATATACACACATGATTCTTTATTGTCATTGTTTAGTGGTATGGATATTTTGTAAAAATTAGTATGAAATAAATTACTAGAAATTGTTCCAGTTAATGACACTGTATTTATGAGAAGAAATGAGTTCATTTATTTTGCAATCTGATATGCAATTTTTGCCCTGGAACTAAACAAATAGCTAGTGTGGTGTGAATCTCTTTATGATACTGTTAAATCCTATCTGAAGTGTATTTTAAAACTCATCTTAATGTTAAGCTACAGCAAGCACTATGTCCCATTTATTTCGATTTTATTGAAAGTTCCTAGCACACTGCCTATATCTAGCGGGTAATCAATAAATAATCACTAAATTCACAGAGACATTCAGGACTTGAGGTAAAATGAAAAAAGCCACCCCAAAAATGGAATGACTGGAGGGAAAATTGCTGGTGACAGAGTAGAGAGATTATAAAAACATTCTTGGCTTGCTTTTACATTATTCTTAAGCCCAGATAAAGTGATGGCATCTTCAGCAAGAAAAAAAGGAAATAAATACAAGAAGTACATAGATTTCTACCCTACAATGTCACCATGTGTTTCTTATATTTTATCTTTTTTCTTTGTGATTGGCAAGCCCTACATATTTAGCTCAATGTTCATTTTGGTGGTTCTTCCAGAAATATCATAAGATTAGCTCACTTATGAAACATGAGCAATTTTTCTCCATGATTATTACTAGTAACAGCAATTAGTTAACAAAAAGATTCAGTGCAAGCAGAGCTACGGAGTCATTTGCTGTTTAAAACTTTACTGGAGGTGGTGATGGGAGAGCCATTTAACAGAGTTTACACATTTTAAAGCAGTTTGAGCCTGGAATTATGAGAACATAGACCTTAAGAGAACTAATTTCCAACTTTGTAAATTTTCTCATGAAATTACAGAATTACTTTGAGATTCTTCATACAATTCCAGCACTTTTGATTTTATGTTGAAACTGGGTTGGCTTAGAGTCAAGCCACAGTTCTTGTGTGTTTTTTACAATTGGTTTTATGCTGCCTCCCCGTTAGTTTGGCACTGGCTCTGTGACATGCCTGAAAATGTGTCAAGAAAATCCAGTCTCTTGTTTTCATTACCAAGATATTATAGCTTCATAGAACGCTTATTGGGCAAATGACAGTCTCCCTCCACTGTGAGAATGGGAATTATATTGGATTTTTCAACACAGCCATTTGCTGAAAATGAACTTGCTGGTGTGAGCTACTGTTTCCACAAGCAGGATGTAGAATGAGAAATGCATTAATGCCTTGATATTTGATATCTTAGACTCACACAGGATATGTGGAACACAGGAAAGAAATAAGGAGAAAAAAGGAAAAGAAGTGACCAGAACTTTGCTTTGATTTTCATTGTCTCTTTTAACCTATAGAGGCAAAGCAAAGTTCACTTTTCACTATGAAATACTTATCCCATTAACTTAGGTCAAATTAAATGAAGAAATGGTAGTAACATTTTGTAAAATGACAAATAGCTATATAAAAGGAAAATATTATCATTATATTACTATTTCACGGGTAGTAATACTATAAATGCATCTATAAGTACTATAAATTAGTATATAGAGTATAGATAGTATAAATTTATAAATACCATACATACATAAATACAAAGAACATATAAATTCTTTGTGAGCTCCTCAATGCCAAGAGAGACGTTTGGCTTCATTTTTGTATCTATTCGGGGGGTGGCATGTATCTATTTGGGGGATGTGTATGTACTTAGTTTATAAAGAAGTAGCATTACCTTAAGATTATTTTGTCATCACCTTAATAATCACAGCTGGATGTGTCTATTAGGGTGAAAAAAACCTAACATTTTTCCTTTGGAAAGATAAAGAGTTAAATTTTAAAAAGTAAGAGAAAGAAGGATCCCAGAATTCTCCAGTGTGACATTCTGGAAATACTCGTATAAAACAGAAGTATCTATGGATTGATGTGTCTTGCCTGAGAGTATCACTCTACAAAAACAATAGGATGGAAAAAATATCTTGGTGACTCGTCTATTTCCAATAGATGTTCTCTATTCTACAACGTATTCTAAATAGAAGGCATGCTTATTCCAAAACGCCGTGCCCAAACTCTAAACACAGTGAAATTTGTATGTCTGTTTCTTTATGGAAAAACTTAAAGCCAGTTTCTAACATAGTCTGGAGACTTAATAAAGGCTCATCAAAAATGTAGAATTGATTCTTTTTCCTGTTTGTGAATCCTAACAGACTCTCCAGTCCCAGGTCTAATCTCACCTTCTTGTGGCGATGTCCACAAGTGCAGAAAGGAAAATTAAAAATCATCTTACGGCTGGGCATGGTGGCTCACACCTGTCACCCCGGCACTTTGGGAGGACGAGGCGGGTGGATCACCCGAGGTCAGGAGTTCGAGACCAGCCAGGCCAACATGGCAAAACCCCATCTCTACTGAAAATACAAAAATTAGCTGGGCGTGGTGGAACGTGCCTATAATCCTAGCTACTCGGGAGGCTGAGGTGGGGGAATCGCTTGAACCCAGGAGGCGGAGGTTGCAGTAAGCCGAGATCACACCATTGCACTCCAGCCTGGGCAACAGGGTGAGATTCCATCTCAGGAAAAAAAAAAATCATCTTGCTTGGCTGTGTTATTTTTACAAAGGAGAAAACTGAAATGTACAAAGGTTAATTGAATCGCCTAAGCTCACACAGTCTAGTTGTTCTGAGGCTAAAACCCAAATCTTCAAGTCCAAGTCTGTTCACTTACTCAGCTTCCTCACTGTCTGTAGTGAACCTCTCAGCTTTGAAATTACTAAATAAATGCAGTTTAGGAAGACAGTGTTCTAGGAAATGGGTGAAATGTTCCAGGACCAGCTCCCTGACTGAGCATGTCTTCCTGACAAAGGTAATAGATGTAGGGGGCTTGCTGCACTCAACGCCTCCTTCTGTCCTGCCTGGTTAGTTTGAGGGCGTTATGATGGGAATTACAACACAGGGTTGGAACAACCTCCTTGCCAAGCTTATCATAGATTCCTTTTGGTACCAGGAATCAGTGTATGCTTCAGAATACTGATTTTGAAACTGGGTCTATAAGTGGACTTCAGGGGGTCAGGAAAGTGGCTCAGCTCTAGCACTGACTCTAGAGGTGCAGATGGGATAGACAGTGGGCAATTGTAAAAGATTCAGGTGGCCAAGGAATCAGGTATTTAGAACCAAGTAGCAAAGAATTTAGGCAAAGGTGAGTTTTCAGATTTAGGCCAGAGGACAGGGAGGCAGTTGTTATTTCTGAGAACTGTACATGGCTGGCAAAACCCTCTGCACTGTCTTAGATCTAGAAAAGTCTTAAGGTGGGCCTGAAGGCATCAGGACACCTCTATTAAAAAAAATCCGTCAAATCAGAAAACACCAGAAAAATGACTAGGGATAGAGAAGGTGTTCTATCAGCCATATAACTTGTATCCAGAAATCTCCTCTGGCAACAACAGTTCTGGACAGCAAAAGAAACTCAGAGAATATCATACCAATCCAGCAGGCAAGACAGGACCACTTATTCCTGGGTCTAGAAAGGGTCATGTTTCCTTCTCACATCTGCTAAATATGGAGAGGAGCAGAGACTGTTTTTTGGATCCCATATTATTTAAGATGGACTCAAGTGCTGCATGGGACTGACTAAACCTTTGGGTGGGACAGCAGTAAGACTGCCATGAGGAGCTGGGTGTAGTCAGAGGCAGGGATGTTGCTGAAGACTTACAAGAACAATCAAAGTGATGTTTCAGAAAGATCCATCTGAATGGGGAGTACAGAATGCTCTGGAGGAGAGAATTTGCAGACTGGAAAATTGCAGAAGTCCAGGCATGGCAATGTAAATGGAAGTCGGGATGAGCATGGTATAGAAACTACAGGTGAATAGAACGGCTTGCCAGTATTAGGTGGGTGCAAAAGTAATGCGGTTTTGCCATGAAAAGTACTAGATTGAGAGCTTAGGAGAGCCACTACATAATTTACTGTGACACACAATTCTATCAACAGGCCAGAACAACAGGAGAAAACCAGGACCGTCCCAGGGAAACTCAGATGTGTGGTCACTGTGGATACAGGGTTCAAAGCACAGGAAGAGTCCAGGTAGATTTTGGGTTTGGTCAGCTCCTGGGAAACTTAAGTCCAGCCTACTTGGAAGTAGAACTGAGCTCTCATACATTCTGTATGATATGACACAGGATCACAGGGTGTGATAAATCAACTAGGTATCCCTGTCTTTTTGTTTAGCCCTTTTTTTTGCTTTAGTTAATAAGTTAATAAGACTCAAATGTGAAGTATTAGTACTGTAGTACTCCAGACTCTGGACTCTTACTAAAAGTAGTTTCAGAGTTTCCCAAACTATCTTCTGAGAAATACTGCCTAAAATGATGTGATGATTCAAAAACATATTCTCAAATTTTTGACATTCTTCCCGTTAAGAGGAGTAGTCTAATTCAGCGGTCCCCAGCCCCGGGCCATGGACCATTACTGGCCGGTGGCTTGTTAGAAATCAGGCTGCACAGCAGGAAGTGAGCTGTGGGTGAGTGAGCATTACCACCTGAGCTGCACCTGCTGTTTGAGAATCTAATGCAGCCACTGATCTTAGTGTGGCAGGCCAATTCTCCCTGATAATCACACAGACAGGCCTGCATAGCACCCAGTTACACAAATTTCCACAGTGCTGCCTTAACATTGAGCAAATAGTTAAACCTAGGGAAATCGGTGCCCAGACATCAAAGCCAGAAATGAAACATACGGCCAGTAGTAGCCTTGCATGGGCTTCTCCCTTGCTGGAGCAAGTCAAAATAATAGAAACAGTTTTACATTCCTAATGCCAGGACCAATCTTAGGTCGACAAAATCTGAGACAAGTCAAGGTAACAGAGACAGCTGTTTGAATAGATTCATCGGAGAGTCTAAGGCAGCCCTCAGGACCAAGCTGTAAAGGAGATATGATGGAAATAATCACTCCAGTACCACAGCAGACAGGCCTTGAAGGCACTGGGGCCCTTTTAATCGAACTTAGTATTTTTTTGCTTCTGACCTTCTAGTTAAAACAAAATTAGTTAACAATAGACTTAGGCAAATGCTATACTGTACGTAGGCACATAATCCCAGCCTACATAAGCACTCGCAAAATTGTGATGCTTTGAGTTGGTCTGGTGGAATTATCTCCAGCCTTCTCCCTGTATCTAGTTACAGTAATTAACTTCCTTCTTTCCTTGTCTGCTTCTCATTATTGGGCCTCGAGAAAACACAGCTGGGTCTGGCATGGTTTGGGGAACAACAGGAGTGTGAACCCTATTGTGAACTGTGCACGCGAGGAATCTAGGTTGTAGACTCCTTATGAGAATCTAATGCCTGAGGTGGAACAGTTTTATCCCAGAACTGTGCCCCCCACCTCCATGCCCCTGTTCCGCAGTGAAAAAATTGTCTTCCATGAAACTGGTCTCTGGTACCAAAAAGGTTGGGGACCATTGGTCTAATTCCTCCTCCCTTGAATGTGAACTTGACTTAGTGTTTTGTTTCTAATGAATAGTATGTGGTGAGAATGACACTGCAGGGCTTTTGTTTTGTTTTGAGACGGAGTCTCTCTCTGTTGCCCAGGCTGGAGTTCAGTGGTGCTGTCTCAGCTCACTGCAACCTCTGCCTCCTGGGTTCAAGTGATTCACGATTCTCCTGCCTCAGCCTTCCGAGTAGCTGGGACTACAGGCGCATGTCACTACGCCCAGTTAATTTTTGTATTTTTAGTAGAGACTGGAATTCACCATGTTGGCTAGGAATGTCTCGATCTCTTGACTTCGTGATCCGCCTGCCTTGGCATCCTCCCATAGTGCTGGGATTACAGGCGTGAGCCACTGTGCCTGGCTGACACTGCATGGCTTTTGAGGGTAGAACATAAAAGACGACACAATTTCCACCTGGTCTGTCTTGGGACACTTGCCCTTAGGACTCAGATGCCAGGGTCTAAAGAGAACCCAGGCCACATGGAGCACCTTTGTGAGGGTGGCCCAGATGGCGCCTGGCTTGGCTTGGGTCCCAGGCAGCAGCCGCAGTTACCACCAGACATATGAGAAAATGTGAGCCTTTAGATGTTTCCAGACCCAACTGCCGACTAATGACAATTGCACCAGAGGCTCTAGGCAAGAAAGTCCTGGCTAAACCCAGGCACATTCTGGAACTGTGAGGGATACAATACTCATAAATGTTTGTTTGATGAGTATATTAAAGTGTGTGTGGTAGTTTGACTGGCTGCCATAAAGAATTAGAACAGATAGTAAACATTTTTCTACCAGAAATAGTTCTATGATCAAATATCTTCTGAAAATTCTATGTATTATTTTGGTTTGTCACCAGGAAAGGTAACTCAACTGAAAAAATCATGACATCTATACATTTGGAAAGAAGACTTTATTTCTTGTAAAGAGTTACAGCCTGCAAGGTGACCCTTCTGATAGGCCAGGAAGCGTAGCCTCCAGCAGAGCCCTAAAGGCAGGCACTCTGAAGCAGGGGTTGGAACAGGGATTTGTGCTGAATAGGTTGGCTAAGTATTCAGATTCAACAGGCTATAGGAGGAGCTATTAATATCCATGAAGGGGATCCTGATGCATGTGTACTGAATAAACGTGCATGTTACCTACCACCCATGTTCACATTCCACCCTGGTGGAACAGGGGCTTATGAGTCAGGGTCTGATGGTTGGTGAGCTGCATATGTTTTGATATTGCTTATCTCAAGGCTAGTGCTCCATTAGCTGCTAGAGAAAAAGAAAAGCCTTGTAGCAGTTACAACATAGTTTATTCTTTAAGTGTAGGAGTGCAGGACTTAACCCTTGCCTACATGACCTTAGGTCTCATTTATAATTTAGTATCTTATTGCCACAAAGAGTCCATTCTGTCAGTCTTATAATCTCTATTTTAACATTAATGCTGGTCAGTTGTTATGTCTAAGGCAAAAGGCAGGAGATACAACAGAGTGTGTCTGACCTTCCATTCCATCGTGACTTAGGTTTTAAGGTTTCTCTGAGGTCCTCTTGGCCAACAGGGAATCTGTTCAGTCAGCTGTGGGGCTTAGCATTTTATGTTTAGCTTTCAAAACACCTTAAAGTTTCTGAGAATTTGTCATTGCTTAGATGGTACTTTCAATGACACCACCCTCCCCCACCCCTTGCCTTTTTTGGTAGCAATAAAACTCTTAATGTCTCAAAAATCACAATGTTTCACACAGCACAGTGAAAATACTTAGAAACACTCTCGGTTTCAACGTGGTGTTATAAATTGTTGCTACAGTATCTCATTGGGGCTAAATTTATGCTTTTGTATGCATTGCTATCTTTCTAATTTTGCCAAAACAGATCCTCTGCAACTTAATAAGAGGTTTTGATCCAAGCCACCGAAGATCCTGTCTGGACAGTAAAAAACCTTTAAGAATGGGCTTGAGCTGAGCTAGACAGAACCCAGGAGTGATAGCACAGATTATTAGGCTTCAATGCAATAAAAGTCAGGCCTCTTGTTAGCCTGAGCTCAAATAATCTACCTGGAGGTCTCCTGAGTATCTAATTCTCACGTAGAAGACAACGTTTGCTGAAGTGTCATCTGAAGTTCACCGGAAGTAAACCGTACAATGCTGCAACACAACTAGAGCAACAGTAAGGAGTACAGAACTGTGATTAATACGCACGTAGGGCTTTTGAAGAAAACACGAGTGTGACACACAGTTGGCTCTGAAATTAAGCTTTGACAAGAAGTGATAAAGGGAAGTGTAAGTTGATCATGACTCACTTGGTAATCTGGTTCCAACCACTTCCTCCTGTGTATAAACATGGCAAGCTCTATCCTTCTTTTCTATCCAGAAATGGAGGGAACAGATGGCTTTGGAGAAATTTGTTTTGTAAGAGGAACTTCTGAATTGTCTGGCATGAGTTTTTTTTTTTTTTCTTTTAACATGAGCCTTAGCTCCAAACACTCAGGCTTATTAGAGGCCAATCCTCTATCACATTGCTGGGAGATGCCACCTTCCTTCTGACTACACTGACAAATCTCTGGCCTTGGCCCTTGTACATTTCTGCCTAAATTTCACAAATGAGAAAAGCTATAACTGGAGCAGAGATTTGCAGCAAAACAAAACAAAATAAAACCAAAATAATACAATTAAGAGACAGAACTGAGTTGATTTCCTGCTTTGGCATTAACTGGTAGTGGAAGTTTTTTCAAAAGTAACTTGGCCTCACTGACTTCAGGTTTCTTGTTAGGAAAATGAATAGGTTTGGCTCAAAGGCCAAGAATTCTTCTCACCTAAATGGTTATTCTCCAGCTCAAATCTCTGGTACATCCAGCAGCATCTCTGCTGGAGTCAATGGCGGTGTGTTGTAGAAAGCAGGGGTTGTTTTTTTTTTTTTGAATAACATCTATCTATACCTTCTCTGGTTCTGTCATCTTCCTTTTCTCCACCTGTTTAAAAAAATCTCACACATTAAATGACCACACACATTATTAGTTAACTTTGCCTCAAATAGCATCTCTAGCCTTCTCAACCCTTGTATTTTTCATTTGTTTTAAATTCTAACTACCCTTAAACTGTATATACCCTCTACTTATTTCCTGGTTGACTCTTCCCTCTCAGCCTTCAATCTTGTCTCCAAGTCATTGGCAGTCGGTAAACTGTTCTCGTGTCTTTAGCCAGCTTCTTCCCCTCTAAGCACAGTTTATTCTTATGAGAAGTCCTTCTTTCCAGGACAGAAAGACCAGTTCAAGCCTCACAAAATGAAAATGTTGCCTCTCACCTGCTATCGTTTCCCATATGTGTGCTATTTGTTTTATTTTCCAATATTTTGCTTGCCAGTTCTTTACTGCAAAATTCAGAGGAGAATGTTCTGCACTTGAGTAGGGTTTATGAGATAACTGAATTCTCATGCTCACTTTGTTATTTGCTATGTGTTCTTCCGCAAGGGATTGCTGTGTGGCTTATGCAAATTCATTCCTTAGTAGAACCTGCCCCTCAGTCTTACAGTGTCCTCATATCGCAAATTAGCTGCGTTCCTACCTTGCTCTACTTTTTTCTAAACTGTATACATTAGGAGCTTATGTGAACTTCTTTAACATCTGATATGTGTGTGTGTGTGTTTGTGTGTGTGTCAGAAAGAGAGGAAGAGAGAGAGAGGAAGAGAGAGAATATATGTGTGTTTGGTTTTGCCATCTCCCTGCAGAGTGGAAGGTAATGAATAATCATTTATAGTATGAATGGATAAAATTGGATAAAAGATGTGAAGATTAGTGAGGTTATCGCAAGTATCGATTTCTATTAGTAAATAGAACAGGGAAACACCTACTAATTCACTTTACTTACCTAAAAAAAAAGCCATAGTTTTGAAAAACTCAACAGCATTTTTCTGTAGCTTCTACTGTTCATATTTATTTTGGAATTTTCCAGATCTTAAATCTTGGAATGTTTATTTAAGGGTTTAAAATATAAGCAAAATAAATCCTGACTTCTGGCAAACATTACTATGCTAAGAATTAGTTGATTTCAAATTCTCAGACAGTTCTGTTAATTCTCAGTAGATGGTGACTGTGTGAACACACTGTACTCAGTGGGGTTAGATTTACCAATAAGTACATTATTATTTCCAGTAAAATGTGCTGTCCACTTTGGCAAAAGTGGAACGAACTTATTAATTACTAACTTACACTAATGCTGTTTTACATATAGATCCCAGTAAAGAACCCAACTAACAAAGACTGCAATCCAATTTGCCAGTATCAATAAAAATTGGCTGAAATGCCAAAGAAGGTTACTGAAGGATGTTGTACACACCACCAGCTACTTTTAAAAGTGGCGTGCCTGTCTCCAAATGGTGAGTGTGTGTACGAGTCTGCACATGGGGATTCTCTGTAACATCGTTTACGATAGAAAAGTGTCGGAAGCCATCCCAGGAAAAGACATCAGTTAAATGTTGTATGTCGATAAAATAGAGTGCTATGAAGAAATAAAAAGGCTTCAGAACTGCATCTATTGGAAGATTTTCACAACATTTTTTTAAATGAAAAAGAATGTTATATGTTATAAAATGTATGAATACCACGATCTCATTTTGAAAAAAGTAGGCCGGGTGCGGTGGCTCATGCCTGTAATCCCAGCAATTTGGGAGGCCCAGGCAGGTGGATCACCTGAGGTCAGGAGTTTGAGACCAGCCTGGCCAACACGGCGAAACCCTGTCTCTACTAAAAATACAAAAATTAGCCAGGTGTGGTGGCACGCACCTGTAGTCCCAGCTACTTGGGCGGCTGAGGCAGGACAATCACTTGAACCCAGGAGGCGGAGGTTGCAGTGAGCCAAGATTGTGTCACTGCACTCCAGCCTGGGTGACAGAGTGAGACTCTGTCTCACAAAAAAAAATAAAGAAAAGAAAAGAAAAGAAAAAAGTAGTGTACATGTGGATTTGTTGTAGAGAAATTTTCTAAAAGAATATACCCTGGAGTGATAATTTATATCAGCTTAGAGAAGTTAGAACCTTTAAAAACATTTTTTCCCATTTTTCCTTGTTTGTCCTTTTTCTGTTTTTCAATACTCAATATCAGATAACATTATAATAAACAAAAGTATTCCATGGTATATATGTGCCACATTTTCTTTATCCAGTCTATCACTGATGGGTATTTGGGTTGGTTTTAAGTCTTTGCTATTGTAAATAGTGCTGCAATAAACATACGTGTGCATGTGTCTTTATAGTAAATGATTTATAATCCTTTTGATATATACCCAGTAATGGTATATATCATTAATGATTATAGTATATATCAGTAATGATTGCTGGGTCAAATCCTTTGCAGGGACATGGATGAAGCTGGAAACCATCATACTCAGCAAACTAACTCAGGAACAGAAAACCAAACATCGCATGCTCTCACTCATAAGTGGGAGTTGAAAAATAGGAACACATGGACACAGAGAGGTGAACATCACATACCAGGGCCAGTAGGTGGGTAGGGGGTTGGGGGGATAGGGGAGGGAGAGCATTAGGACAAATATCTATTGCATGTGAGGCTTAAAACCTAGATGATGGTTTGACAGGTGCAGCAAACCACCATGGCACATGTATACCTATGTAACAAATCTGCACGTTCAGCACATGTATCCCAGAACTTAAAGTAAAATAAAGAAAAAAAAAAAAAATTCTCTTCTGAGTTAAAAAAAATATTTTCAAGGGGACTATTTACTTCTATTAATATATGTTAAAGGTCAAGAAAAATCATGCCCTCTGCATAAGAAAATGTGTATAGATAACCCAAGAAAATGATTAATGATGTAAGTGACATATATAAAAAATTGAGCTAATTTACCCTTTCTTCAGCAGTGGCATCCTTAGGAATACCTTTGAAAATACCAGTTCATTACCATTTTTTAAATCTTTGCCAATCTGATGGATGAAAAATATGATTTATATTTATATTTTACATTTCAATCTTTAAGCAATCTGGAATGAGTGAAGATTCTAAGTTTATGTTTTTCTTTTCCATACATAGCTATTAATTACTAAGTCTGCTAATCAATATCATGTTTTGAGCCCTCTAAACTTTCTCCTCTGATATGTAACTATAACCTTATCATACATTAAATACTTAGGTATATTTTGGTGCATTTCTGGACTTTCTCTTCTGCTCCACTGATCTGTCTGTTACTATGCCTGTACAAGACCTTTAAATTGTGTAGCTTCGTGATTGATTTTAACATCTGGTAAGAAAAAAAAAAGTATGCTCACTTAGACTCACTTTATTGTTTGCTAAAATGAATTGAGAACTATTAATCAATACAGTTGAGAACATGAATAACAGTGCTCTTGGGCCCTTTACAAGGTTTGGCAGATAAACTGATGATGTATTTCTCTAGGTTTCTGAGTCAGTAATTTCATGATGAATTTCTGTTGCCCAGGCTGTAGTGCAGTGGGGCGATCTCGGCTCACTGCAAGCTCTGCCTCCTGGGTTCACGCCATTCCCCTGCCTCAGCCTCCCGAGTAGGTGGGACTACAGGCGCCCGCCAACACGCCTGGCTAATTTTTTGTATTTTTACTAGAGACGGGATTTCACCGTGTTAGCCAGGATGGTCTCGATCTCCTGACCTCGTGATCCGCCCGCCTCGGCCTCCCACAGTATTATACTTTTTACATGTGTGCAAGCACCTCTTTTTCTATTAAGTTAGGCACCTCTCTACATTTGCTTAACCTCCAAGCTACTTCTCCATATTCACCCGGGATTTACTGATCATTTCACAGGTTTCCTATTCTAATCCCCAGTTCCTGTCACTGACCTGAGTGATAACAATGTCCATGCAATCATATAGAAAATGCTGCTCTCTCAGTTCCTTGATAATCAGTTGCATTTTTCTTATCACTTCCTAAGCCACTCAGAAATGGTTTCATTCTTGGCCTGTTTGTCACTTGAAATTCTCCAGCTTTGGAACAGAAAGTTTAAAAAGTTTTTGATTTCCTATTTTCTAAAATTAATAATGTTCATCTTAGAAAACATTTAAGAAGTCATAAATAAATGAAGTATATACAAATCACCAGTAAGCTTATAATATTGGTAATTGGTAGATTATATTTATCTATCCATCCCTCCATCCATCTATCTATTATCAATAGTCCATCATAAGTATGTTATCTAGTTACTTAGCTACCTGTCATCTAGCTATCTAGCTGTATATTTAGCTGTAATTCTTCCTCTCCACCTCCACTTCTGCACACTCACACACGATACTAATATATAGGTACACGTCCATATTTTTTCTGTATCTTTTTGAAGTGGCATTGGAGCCTATTTTGGCCTGACCTGCTAGAAATAAGTATATGCTCTGGAGAAATGGATGTGTGAATGAATCTTAAAAGATGTGATGTTTTAGCAAGCTCATTTGAGCAAGATGCACAGTTGTAACCATATGACCTCCCGTAGTTTAAATTAAAGATCTAATTGCCTATAGCTCTTGACTAATAATGAACAGTGTGAAAAGTTGTTCTCTGTTCTGTGTATCTCCAAAGGACAGAGTATCAGCAGCAGAAAGATTAGACCCGAAAGCTCACATTGGCATCTTCCCCAGTGTTCTCCTGCATGCTTTGCCCAATACAGGCTGCTTCCTTTGTAGCTACGGTCATTTAAGTGTGCTTCCTCCTTGTGGCTTTCTTCTCTTGTTTTATAGAGTTGTTTTTTTAAAAAAATCTTTTTTTTGGGGGGGTAACATAGGCCTCTTAAATTGTTTTACATACTTTTCACAAAATTATTTTAACAGCCATGCTTTGTTTTTGTTTTGCTTTTTTGGGGGGAACTTCAGAGAAGTGTTCTATCACCTTAGTTCTGCTCAAGTTGGTTATTTTATGTATATTCAACTTGGATAGTATGATACTTGTACTTCTGTATTTTTCCTAATATATGTGTCAGTAGAGCTGCCATGAAGGATTTATGGATCCCAACATCCAACGTGCCCCTTGAGACTCTCACCCAACTCTCACCCCTCACTCCTAGCAGATTATTTTGTTCTTGTTTCATGGATACAATACTTTCCATAGTGTGCATACTTCTTCACTAGACCCCAATATTTTTTAGGTCTTGTGATAACCTCTATTGGCTCTAAATCAGTACAGGTTTTTAGGTTATGATAACCTATATTGGATTAGATCCATTATAGGCTATCACTTATAATCCATCACCCTAGTCGAATACACTTACCTGCTTTCTTAATCCCAGCTCATCTCAAGCCCAATGAGAATGAACTCTAACCTACCACTCTATAACTTTCATCCTTCTACACTCTTTCAACTTACAAATTAACCAGTTTCATCTTGGGGCAAAAAAAACCAGCTTGTTATTTCTCCTTTCCTTCCAAGTACAAGTTCTATAAACAATACATTTTAATTCATACTCTTTACTTAATTCCGCCTTTATCTCTCCACTGAAACTATCCTTGATAAAGACATCAGTGACCTACTCATTTCCAAATTCAAAGACTACTTCTTAATTACTATAATATCTCGGGGATATTTGGTGCTGTTGACTACTTTATTTATTTAGAAAGTCTCTTCTGTTCCCTGTTTGTCCACCACTCTGATTTATTCTCAGTAACCTGCTCAAGGCCCAGTTTCTCCATCTTGTATTTACTGAGTGTGAGCACGTGTCATATGCTGGGTTCTACCAGGATGGCTATCTCCATGCCCTGTAGACTACTAAACATGACTAGTGGGATAAGAGTGGTGATTTTCCCATTCTTGGAAAAAGTATTTGCACAGCCATTTTCATCATTTCTTCCTCTATCACATCTTAAGTGGTAGAAAGGGGAACATGGAATGCTGTATCCAAAAAATCCTAATTCCCATAGGAAGTGCAGGGAAATGAATGAATACTTTGTATTCATCAGGGCTCTCCAGAGAAACAGAATTAACAGGGTGTGTGTGTGTGTGTGTGTGTGCATGCATATACTCACATATATATCTCTTTCCTATACATATGAAAGAGATTTATTTTAAGCACTTGGCTCACACAGTTATGGAAGCTTGGTAAATCAGTATTTTGTTTTCCCTGGAGAATCAGAGAAGAGTTACAGCTCAAGTCCAAAGGTGGTCTGCTGGTTGACTTCCTTCTTATTCAGGTGAGGTCAGTCTTTGTTGTACTAAGGCCTTCAACTGATTGGTGAGGCCCACCTGTATTGTGAAGCATAATCTGTTTTACTCATAGTCTTCTCATTTAAATGTTAATCTCATAAAAAAATCTTCTCAGGAATGACCAAGAATAAGATCTGACCAAATATATGGACATATATGGACATTCTGGCTCAGTCAAGTTGACCTATAAAATTACCCATCTACCTAATGCATGTGGGGCTTAAAGCCTAGATGATGGGTTGATAGGTGCAGCAAACCACCATGGCACATTTATACCTATGCAACAAACCTGCATATTCTGCACATGTATCCCAGAACTTAAAATAAAAATAAATTCAATGCCAAAGAGGAAAAAAAAATTAACCATCACACATTTATAGGTTAAAATTCCAGATCTTAATTTCTTCAAACTCTTATCTCTCAGTTAAATGACACTCCATTGAATTTATTTTCTCTCTTTTTAAGCCGTTTTCACAAATGGCTTCATTCTTGACCTATCCCCATCTGGGATCATGTTAATCCCAAATTAACAAAACATGAATATTTGGATGGTTGACATTCATACACATTGTGCATAAATCATCAACCATTTTTAAGAGGATGGGTTAACAACTTTCTTTGCTTGCAAATTGAGAGAGAAATCAGAATTGCCCAGTCTTGTATTTTGATCCTCTCAACTGAGCACCTCTTATTAATCCAGAAGCACATGACACAGAAACAGGTAATATTGTAGAATGACTCATTCCTGTAGAGATCAATATGTTGAATGTATTCTTGTCAGTGTTCTTCTACATTGCTTATTTAAAAGTGAGGACAGGGCTGTCAGCCTCAGAATCTGTTGGTCCTGGCTTACAAGATTTTATCTGATCAAAAGATGAAGAATCAGTATATATATATGTGTGTGTATATGTATGTGTATATATATATACACATACTCATATATGCACACACATATATACACATATATACACACATATATACACACATAATTTTCTGAATATACACAGTAGGTTCATATATATATATACACAGACATATATATATGTATTTGTATTGTATGTTTTTATATATAGCACATTTGGGAGTATATATGTGTGTGTGTATATGTACAAATATGTGCGTATATGTGTGTATATGTATGTGTGTGTGTGCATATATATATATATATGCATCTACATACTCCCAGTTGTTTAAAGTACATTTTAATCCACTTGTGATATCTTTGGGCATTATTATTCATGTGGGTGTCCATTACTTTGTAAAGTAGATCCAGGATTTTCGACCCAAAAAAGCTGATCCTCTTTGTCCTACAAAGGATCCACTGGAGGCCTTCTTAGTTATGCAGATGCATAGTGAGCAGTCTTATCTTCTTTTATTTGCCCTGTTGGCTGGGGAGGTATTCCCATCCTAGGTTTATGGAGATGCTGAACATATGTTGCCTGGTCCTGGACAGATAAGGTTGACAAATGCTCATGTCACATATACTCATCGCTCAAGGAAGAGGACACTGCATGCCATAAAGGCCACATGAGGAACATAAGTACAGGGAACAGGGAAAAACTAGGGCTGTGGGAAGCAGGCTTTGTGATTAGTATCAATGCGGTGAGGTGCCCTCTGGTTCCCGTGGGAGTATGTGATTGCCTTATCTGAGTAATTCTGTAGCTGGCAGGGAACTGAAGCTCACTACTCAGGAATAAGCAGGAACTTTGCCTAGTCCCTGTGATAAGGAGAGTTGTTTGACTAGTGGAGGTTATCCATGGGAGAAAGGTGAGGAGCAAGATTGGTGGTTAAGCCATTCCAGGCCCTACCAGTTTTCCCCAAATGTCATGTCATACATAACATTGGACCTTAATTTTAGTCCTTATATCTCATCATGCCAGTGGAGAGTGTAGGGAGAAGAAAGAAAACATAGAAGAATCATAGATATAAAGATGGGTGGTGTCTATCCTCATTCTACTTGGAAGGCAGATTGTTCTGCCAAGCCCTGTCTGCTTGTTAAGTGCGTCAAATTCTGCAAATAGTGCATCCATTGATTGTATACAATATATTAACATCTCTGCTGATTACCTATTGCTTTAAAACTTAGATAGTGTATGATGAGAGGATGGGCTGTTTCATGTTACAAAGGACCTAATAGCATGTAGCGTGTCTTAAATACATAGCTAGTAATTCAGGGCCTGAGAGGTTATTAACTAATTATAAAATAGCAACCTAAGCAAGAGGGTAGAAACTTATGTAAATATAGTACCTGAAAGGTGATAACAAAATCTCTTCGCTTTCTTTTGTGGAAATGTGTTTACTAAGCTCAAAAGCAAATAGCTTTCTTTTCTTTGTGCAACACTATCTACTTACCACAGGTGGGAACAGAGCATGTTAGAATAGGAAACCCTAATAGCTTTTTTTTTCCTCCTCTTCTAAGGCTCAGCAGTTCATGACTTGTGGTTCTGAGGCTCTGCTTGTTTTTTGAAGAGTGATCCTGTTTCAATCATGAATTTAGTGTACAAATATTTAGCAGCTACTATTTTCTAATCACTGTATTGGGGTCTTGGGGATTTAATGATGAATAACACATATATCTTAAAGAAAATCTTGGTTAGGGGAGAAAGAGCTTGTTTTATTAAATTTGGAAAATATTTATTTTCCAAGCTGATTTTTACATAATTGTTAAGTTATAAAGGTAATACCAACCACTGCTTAAAAATTAAGAAATACAGAGAGGAGATAAAAATACTTATCTTCTTACCATACACACATACACACACACACACACACACACACACACACATTCACACATGCCTCTATTTGGGACTTCTTTTTGTGTTCTTGGTTTTTTATTCTTAATGGATTCTTGATGCTTTTATTTAGTTTTGATCATTTAACTGTAGTACATCATTTTTGCCCTAACAGTATAATATAAACATTTTCTATAATATAAAAATTCATTATAATGGTAATTTTACATTATGGTTCAGTACTTTATTGAGCAAGCATGAAACATTTACATAACCATGTTCTTATTTTGGGACATTTAATTTTGCTTTTATCTTGTATCAACAATATAATTAATATCTTGATACATTTTACATTTCAGACAATTTCTTTAGAATGATTCTCAATGGTTGAAGTATTTGTTTAATGTTTAAGAAAATATTTTAAAATCTTGTATTTGACACTGACCAGCCTGTTTTTCTCTTGGAGGTTACCCTCCAACTCTAAGTTTGCACTTTTGTCTGTTTTGCTAAACAACAGAGGAAGGAAAGAAATCAGATACATTTTCAGCACATATACAATATATGTAGTGAGCAGATAGAAGGAATGTGGTCAGCCATGTTAAAGTCCAATTTCCTGAAACCCCACCAAACATCTCTTAAAAGCATCACCAAAGCATTCACTCAGTGCCAGTTCTGTGCAGGCCATTTCTAGGTACTGGGAAACAAATACAGTGCCTTGGCACTACATGACTCTGGCCTGCCTTTGGGTTGAAGGAGTGGTACTTTTCTGTCCGTTCCAGGAGCAATTGTAAGAGCACAGCTGTTAAAATATTATTGACTAACTGAATAAAAACATATGTTGAAGATCCCACATCCAGCGGCCCCAAAATTTGTCACACATGATCAGAAAATGTCTATTGTCTTTGATATTTCCACGATATTTCCTTCTTAGCGTTACGGTGAAGATTCATATGTGCTATATAAGCCAACTGGCACATCCCAACTGCCCAGTGAGCATGTGATTCTCTCTCCTTTTCCCCTCACCAAGACTGTGCACCCCCTGACCTGAGGCCGGGGCTCAGTAGGAGTCATCCTTTTTCTCTCATTCCCAGCTTTCAATAAAAAAAACTTACTCTTCTTGCTACATGACCTTCTTTGACATAATCCAGCTGGCAAGCAGAAAGAAGGGAAAATTCTGGGCTGAAAAGAAGTGTTTGTGAAGTTCTTTGGAGAAAAGATACAGTCTTTCACATGTACAGCCCTTCTTCTCCCCTAAGTGAATAGAGCACCTGGGAGCATAGCTATTTTGTTTCTGGGAGTGAAAGAGAGTTACAGTGAAGTCCTTCTGGTGCTTCAGTAGTAAACCCCCTTATGTGGAGTTGGAGAGAAAGTTTCTCTCACTCAAAACCACGTGACTACATGGAAATTGAACAACCTGCTCCTGAATAAGTCCTGGGTAAATAATGAAAATAAGGCAGAAATCAAGAAGTTCTTTGAAACCAATGAGAATAAAGAGAGAGCATACCAGAATTTCTGTGACGCAGCTAAAGCAGTGTTAAGAGGAAATTTATAGCACTAAATGCCCACATCAGAAAGCTGGAAACATCTCAAATTGACACCCTAACATAACAACTAAAAGAACTAGAGAAGCAAGCAAACAAATCCAAAAGCTAGCAGAAGACAAGAAATAACTAAGATCAGAGCAGAACTGAAGGAGATACAGACACGAAAAACCCTTCAAAAATTCAATGAATCTAGGAGCTGGTTTTTTGAAAAAAAAAAATAACTAATAAAATCGGTAGAAGGCAAGCTAGAATAAAGAGGAAGAAAAGAGAGAAGAATCAAATGGACACAATAAAAGATGATAAAAGGGATGTCACCACTGATCCCACATAAACACAAACAACCATCAGAGAATACTATAAACAACTCTATGCGATAAACTAGAAAATCAAAAAATGGATAAATTCCTGGACACATACACCCTACAAAGACTAAACCAGGAAGAAGTCGAATCCCTGATTAGACCAATAACAAGGTCTGAAATTGAGGTAGTAATAAATAGCCTATCAACCACAAAAAGCCCAGGACCAGATGGATTTACAGCTGAATGCTACCAGGGGCACAAAGAGGAGCTGGTACCATTCCTTCTGAAACTATTCCAAACAATTGAAAAGGAGGGACTTCTCCCTAACTCATTTTATGAGGCCAGCATCATCCTGATATCAAAACCTGGCAGAGATACAAGAAAAGAAAACTTCAGGCCAATATCCCTGATGAACATCGATGCAAAAATCCTCAATAAAACACTGGCAAACTGAATCCAGCAGCACATCAAAAAGCTTATCCACCATGATCAAATCAGCTTCACCCCGCTGGTTCAACATATGCAAATCAGTAAACATAATTCATCGCATAAGCAGAACTAATGACAAAAACCGTGATTATCTCAGTAAATTCAGAAAAACCCTTTGATAAAATTCAACATCGCTTCATGTTAAAAACTTTCAATAAACTATTAATGGAACAGATCTCAAAATAATAGCCATTTATGACAAACCCACAGCCAATATCATACTGAATGGGCAAAAACTGGAAGCATTCCCTTTGAAAACTGGTGCAAGGCAAGGATGCCCTCTCTCACCACTCCTATTCGACATAGTATTGGATGTTCTAGCCAGGACAATCAGGCAAGAGAAAGAAATAAAAGGCATTCAAATAGGAAAAGAGGAAGTCAAATTGTCTCTGTTTGCAGATGACATGATCCTATATCTAGAAAACCCCATCATCTCAGCCAAAAAGCTTCTTAAGCTGATAAGCAACTTCAGCAAAGTCTCAGGATACAGAATAAATGTGCAAAAATTACAAGCATTCCTATACACCAACAATAGTCAAGCAGAGAGCCAAATCATATATGAACTTCCATTCACAACTGCTACAAAGAGAATAAAATACCTAGGAATACCATTAACAAGGGATGTGAAGGACCTCTTCAAGGAGAACTACAAACTAGTGCTTGTAGTTCAAAGGAAATGAGAGAGGAAACGATAGAGGACACAAACAAATGGAAAAACATTCCATGCTTGTGGATAGGAAGAATCATTATCATGAAAATGGCCATATTGCCCAAAGTAATTTATAGATTCATTGCTATTCCCATTAAACTACCATTGACATTCTTCACAGAGTTAGAAAAAACTACTTTAAAATTCATATAGAACCAAAAGAAAGCCCATATAGCCAAGACAATCCTAAGCAGAAAGAATAAAGCTGGAGACTTCATGCTAAATGACTTCAAACTATACTATAAGGCAGCAGTAATCAAAGCAGCATGGTACTGGTACCAAAACAGACACATATACCAATGGAACAGATAGAGATCTCAGAAATAAGACCATCTACAACCATCCAATCTTCAACAAATCTGACAAAAATAAACAATGGGAAAGGAGTCCCTATTTAATAAATAGTGCTGGGAAAACTGTCTAGCCATATGCAGAACTTTAAAACTGGACCCCTTCTTTACATCTTATACAAAAATTAACTCAAGATGGATTAAATACTTAAATGTAAAACCCAAAACTATAAAAACCCTAGAAGAAAATCTAGGCGATACCATTCAGGACGTAGGCACAGAGAAAGATTTCATGAGAAAAACATCAAAAGCAACAGAAACAAAAGCAAAAATTGACAAATGGGACCTAATTAAACTAAAGTGCTTCTGCACAGCAAAAGAAACTATCATTAGAGTGAAGAGACAACCTATACAATGGGATAAAAATTTTGCAACTTATCGGACAAAGGTCTAATATCCAGAATCTATAAGGAACTTAAACAAATTCACAGGGGGTGGTGGCTCATGCCTGTAATCCCAGCACTTTGGGAGGCCGAGGCGGGTGGATCACGAGGTCAGGAGATCAAGACCATCTTGGCTAACCTGGTGAAACCCTGTCTCTACTAAAAATACAAAAAGTTAGCCGGGTGTGGTGGCAGGCACCTGTAGTCCCAGCTGCTCGGGAGGCTGAGGCAGGAGAATGGCATGAATCCGGGAGGTGGAGCTTGCAGTGAGCCGAGATCGCGCCACTGCACCCCTGCCTGGACTACAGTGCGAGACTCCATCTCAAAAACAAAAAGCAACCCAATCAAAATTGGGCAAAAGACATGAACAGACACCTCTCAAAAGGAGAAACTTACGTTGCCAACAAATATGAAAAAAAGTTCAACATCACTGCTCATTAGAGAAATGCAAATCAAAACCACAATGAGATACTATCTCATGCCAGTTAGACTGGAAATTATTAAGATGTCAAAAAACAACAGATGCTGGTGAGGCTGTGGAGAAATAGGAACGCTTTTATACTGTTGGTGGGAATGTAAATTAGTTCAACCATTGTGGAAGATAGTGAGGCAATTTCTCAAGGATCTTTAACCAGAAATACCATTTGATCCAGCAATCCCATTACTGGGCATATAATCAAAGGAATATAAATCATTCTATTATAATGATACAGGTATGCATAAGTTTATTGCAGCACTATTCACAATAGCAAAAACATGGAATCAATCCAAATGCCCATTAGTAATAGACTGGATAAAGAAAATGTGGGACATACACACAAATGAATACTATGCAGCCATAAAAAGGAATGAGAGGGAAATGGATGGAGCTGAAAGCCATTATCCTCAGCAAACTAACACAGGAACAGAGAATCAAACACTGCATGTTCTCACTCATAAGTGGGAGCTAAACAATGAGAACACTTGGGCACAGGGAGGTGAAGAACACACACTGGAGCCTGTCAGGGGGGACAGGGAGGGAGAGCATCAGGATAAATAGCTAATGCATGTGGGGCTGTGGGGCTTAATACCTAGCTGATGGATTGATAGGTGCAGCAAACCACAGTGGCACACATTTACCTATGTAACAAACCTGTACATCCTGTACATGTACCCTGGAACCTAAATTAAAAAAAGACACAGTTTCTCATTCATAGAAATTGATGGTTGTTAGTAATTACTATTGAAAGTATTTTAAGCTCTTGAATATAATAAATTCCCAGAGAACACAGCATGACAATTATGTTTATGATATCTATTATTTTTTAAAAATAGATCTCCATACTGAAATCCAAACATGCTTTTTCTAATTAATGACTGAATATCCTGCCTGAATGTAACATGTCTCAAACTAATCTTACACATTTTTTCCCTTACCTGCTCTCTTGTGTGAATCTCCACTCTAATGGAACAAGGCAATTACCTAACTCAGATTCCTACACAAAGATCAGGGAATCAAGCCATAAGCAAACGTTGGCATCCCTACTGCCTAAATATGTCCCTAACCTGAGCACTGACCTCCATTTTCACTGCTTCCTCACTGACCCATTGTTTTTTGGATGTGTTTCAGCAGCTTCTGAATTGGTCTCTCTTCTTCCACTCTGTATTTCTGTCTCTGTAGATAAATTTTAGAAATGTGCTGAAGTTCCACCAAGGGTGTTCCATTGCACTTGAAATAAGCCACTTTTAGGCTCAACATTCTTACCGTCTTTCCCCACATCTCCCACTGACTCTTCTCCTTCAGTCACTCCAGCCACATGGATTCGTGTTTTGTTCTTGGACATGTTGAATGTGCTTCAGCCTCATCCTTTTGCATTTTCTGTTCCCTCTACCTGAAATGCTCTTCCCATGTTTTTTCACGTTTAGGTTCTCATTATTTAGAGCCCAACATCTGTTACCTCCCAAAAGAGGAATAAGTAGCCCCAGCTCTCCTTCCTTCCTACCCCTTCTTGTTTGTCTTTAAGATAAGGCAATTAAAAATATTCATCTTCCTCACTATATCGCTGAGCCATCTGAGAAAGCAGACAAGGAAAATAAAGACTAAAATAGCCCCCTTGTAATTGTTAATGCTGGATATGACCAAAATGTGGTTTATAAATTTGGACTAGCATGTTTGCTAGCACTGGTCCCCAGAATCCAGTAGGCTCATTTACCTTTCCCAGGAAGTCCATGGGGCTGGCTCTGTTCCACATGAGGACAGCTCTTCACTGCATCCCTGGATACTTAAGGATGGAGAAGCAGAGCATACATGTTCTCCCAAGAGGAGAAGAGAAACAAGCAAGGCAGATGGGTTCCTCTACTTGCCTTGGCAAAATAAGACAAGGGTCAGAAAGGGGCTAGGAGGTTATGCTACTGGGTAGTCTTCCCATGGCAGGAAACAGTAGGAATGAGCAATGGATGTTTGTTCAGAACTTGTCATCTAGTTTTATTTTTTTCATAGCATTTATTTTGCTCACGTTCCCATTCCAACTAGATTCTAATCTCCAAGCATGTATACATTTTTATCTCTGTGTTGAAAGCCTAATCCCCAAAACCTATTCCAGTAGTTGGCACATAGTAGACACTACATAAATATTTAATGAATAAACCCTCTTTTTAATTTCAGCACCCCCATATCTAATTAATAACTGTATCTCTCCATTATACTTAATAAATATTTCTCAAATCTCTCCCCTTCTTTCCATCCCTGTTGTTTCTGCTTAAATTCAGACTCTTGCTTTCTTTCATTTTCACTTACAGCTGGTATCTTTTCTCTTCCCTAATCAGGCTTTAGAGTCATTCTCTACACTGCTGCCAAGGTAATTGTTCTGAAATTTCCATCTGATTTTACACCATTCCATACTTCCTTTTGCAGCACTCATACCTTGTATTATTTCTCTTTCTGAAATACTATCCTAAATATATATTTTTATACACATATACATATATACATACAATTATATGTGGTGATGTACCACCATCATCTGGGCAATCCATTGATGATTGAAATGTCATTTATGTGGCACATACCTGTATATAATAGAAACAGGGTTTAATCCAGGAGGCAGAGGTTACAGTGAGCCAGGATCATGCCAATGCACTCCAGCCTGGGCAACAGCGAGACCATCTCAAAAAGAAAAGGAGGGTTTATATATATTTATATGTGTATATATATACACATATAAATGTATATACATAGTTATGTACCACATAAATGACATTTCGGTCATTGATGGATTGCATATATGATGTGGTCCTATAAGATTATAATATTGTATATCATTTCTATACTTAGATATATTTAGTTTCATGATACCACTGTATTACAGCTGCCTACACTATACAGTACAGTAACATGCTATACAGGTTTGTAGCCTAGGAGCAATAGGCTATACCATACAGCCTAGGTGTGTGGTAGTCTATACCATCTAGGTTTGTGTAAGTATACTCTAACACAAACCAACGAAATCGTTTAATGACATTTCTCAGACTGTATCCCCATTGTTAAGTGATCCATGACTGTGTGTGTGTGTGTGTGTGTGTGTGTAATGAGTCAATAGTAATGATATGTATATACGCATGCATTATTCCTGTGTGTAATTTATTTTATATATATATATAGAGAGAGAGAGAGAGAACATTGTTAAATATGTTTTAGCACAGGTTTTGAGTGCTACCTTATGCTTTTTCTCATTCTACTGTACTCCTCTTCATGTATTATATATGTTTTTTCAGTCATGTAGCTCTTCTTTCTGCCATTTATATTTTATATTCTGGCAAAGAGTTTGACAAGTCATGGCAATGAAAGATGTCAATGATAATGCTGTATTTATCACAAAGAAACAAAAGGGAAAATTAAACTGACTGCCCAAATTCAACTTTTATGCTTACTTGATACAACTTTGAGGAAATAACCAGGGAAGCAGAAAATAAAATTCATTTAGAGATTGGTATAAATTCTTTGACAGTAAAGGGAATTATAACTCTGGGCTATGAAGAATGATGAAAAATTATGAGAATGATAACTGGAACAAACTGATCAAAGGCATGTCACGACTACAAGAGAATTGAAAAGAGCCGAAGAACAAGTGCCAATTTAAAATTCCACATGGATCAGCATGCAGACTGTCATCATTCACCATTTCCAGGGCACTCCCCTCCTCAAGAAGCAAGCAGGAAGGTTATACTTCTCATTCGATCCCATCAGTGGTGACCATTCACCACAGCGTCAAAGTCAAGCACAAATACTTAGCAGGATATCTTCCCATTCTCTCAGGCATTCTTTGCTCCAACAATTCCAAACACTACCAGCCATAAACTAATGTGCTATAATATATTGTCCTTATTTATTCTCATAATTCTTTTTTTCCAACTTTTATTTTAGATTCAAGGAGGTACATATCCATCTGTTACATGGATATATTCCGTGATGCTGAGGTTTAGGGTACAAATAATCCTGCCACCCGGGTACTCAGCATAGTATCCAATAGCTAGGTTTTCAGCCTTTTCCCCTCTTCCCTCCCTTCTCCAGCAGTACCCAGTGTCTATTGTTGTCATCTTTATGTCCATGGGTACACAGCGTTTAGCTCCCATGTATAATTGAGAACATGCAGTATTTATAGATTTTGGATATTAGACTTTTGTCAGCTGTGCAGTTTGCTTATATTTTCGCCCGTTATGTAGGTTGTTGGTTTGCTCTGCTGATAGTTTCTTTTTGCTGTACAGAAGCTCTTTAATTTAATTAGGTCCCACTTGTCCATTTTTGTTTTCATTGCAATTGCTTTTGAGGACTTAAGTCATAAATTGTTTCCAGGGCCAATGTCCAGAATGTCATTTCCTAGGTTTTCCATAGTTTGAGGTCTGACATTTAAATCTTTAATCCATCTTGAGTTAATTTTTGTATATGGTGTAAGGTACCGGTTTTCTGTTTCTGCATTAATTCACTTAGGTTAATGGCCTCTAGGTGATCCATGTGCTGCAAAGAACACAATTTAATTCTTTTTTATAGCTGCATAGTATTCCAAGGTATATATGTACCACATTGTATTTATCCATTCCACCACTGATGGGCACCTAGCTTGATTCCATGTCATTGCTCTTGTGGATAGTACTGTGATGAACATAAGCATGTGTCTTCTCGGTAGAATAATTTATTTTCTTTTGGCTATATATCCAGTAAACGGATTGTTCGGTCAAATGACAGTTCTGTTTTAATTTCTTTGAGAAATCTCCAAACTGCTTTCCAGAGTGGCTGAACTAATTTACATTCCTACCAACATTGTGTGTTTCCTTTTCTCTGTGGCCTCACCAGCATTTGTTATTTTTTGACTTTTTAGTAATAGCCATTTTGGCTGGTGTGAGTTGGTACCTCATTGTTTTGATTTGCATTTCTCTGATAATTAGTTATGTTGGGCAATTTTTTCACATGTTTTTTTAACTGCTTGTATTTCTTCTTTTGAGAAGTGTCTGTTCATTTCTTTTGACCCTTTTTTTTTTTTTTTTTCTTTTTTTTTGAGACGGAGTCTTGCTCTGTCACCCAGGCTGGAGTGCAGTGGCGCAGTCTTGGTTCACTGCAACCTCCTCCTCCGGGTTCAAGTGATTCTCCTGCCTCAGCCTCCCAAGTAGCTGGGACTACAGGTGCCTACCACACGTGGCTAATTTTTGTATTTTTAATAGAGATGGGGTTTCACTATGTTGGCTAGACTAGTCTCGAACTCTTGACTTCAGGTGATCTGCCCACCTTGGCCTCCCAGAGTGCTAGGATTACAGGCATGAGCCACTGCACCCACCCTTTTGCCCATTTTTAAATGAGGTTACTTATCTCATGCTTGTTCAATTGTTTAAGTTCTTTATAGATTCTGGATATTAGACTTTTGTCAGCTGTGTAGTTTGCTCATATTTTCACCCGTTATGTAGGTTGTTGGTTTGCTCTGCTGATAGTTTCTTTTTGCTCTACAGAAGCTCTTTAATTTAATTAGGTCCCACTCATCCATTTTTGTTTTCATTGCAATTGCTTTTGAGGACTTAAGTTATAAATTGTTTCCTAGGGCCAATGTCCAGAATGTCATTTTCTAGGTTTTCCATAATTTGAGGTCTTACATTTAAATCTTTAATCCATCTTGAGTTAATTTTTGTATATGGTGTAAGGTAGGGGTCCAGTTTTATTCTTCTGCATATGGCTAGCCAGCTATCCCAGCACCATTTATGAAATAGGGAGTCCTTTTCCCAGGACTCCTGCCACCAGGATGCACTCCCTGCCCTGTTTGGTGTAGACCTCTGACTTCTATTGATAAATCTATTGTAACACTAAACACCTTGTGATATTGTGATCATTTATAGGTGGTACTCACTCTGTGCAATTTTATGGTAATTGAACTTATCTTTGTCAGATTGTGAACATCTCAATGAAAGTGATTGTGTTTTTTGTTTGTTTGTTTGTTTGAGACACTGTCTCGCTCTGTTGCCCAGGCTGGAGTGTGTTGTTGCAATCTCAGCTCGCTGCAGCCTCTGCCTCCTGGGTTCAAGCAATCAAGCAGTTCTCCTACCTCAGCCTCCTGAGTAACTGGGATTACAGGTGACCACCACCACACCCAGCTAATTTTTTTTTTTTAGTAGAGATGGGGTTTCACCATGTTGGGCAGGCTGGTCTCAAATTCTGATCTCAGGTAGTCTGTCTGCCTCAGCCTCCCAAAGTGCTGGGATTACAGACATGAGCCACCACTCCCGGCCATGATTGTGTTTTTTCAACTGCAATCTCAGTGTCTGACACATAATAGCTGTAAGTAAAATTACGTTGAATTAATGGAGAAAAAATATGTAATAATTAAAAGTTGAAGTATCCTTTCTGTTCCCTGGAAAAGACAAAGCAATGGAACTTGGGTTGAAAAGGCAAGAAATCTGTGAATCGCAATCCTGATGGTTAAAATGCTCAGTAACTAGACTCAAAAATTCCTTTGTGGTTTTAGTTGATGACTGTATAATCATTTGGAGACATCAATAATCACTGTAATCCCTCTAGTATGAGAATGTGTTTCAGAATCTGTAAAATGATGCATGATTTTAGTGGACTAGGACTAGGTTTTGTGGTAATAACTGGTCCTCAGCGTAATTTCTATTCCTTAGGAATTTCATAATTATTTCTATTCTCCCAGAATCTTTTCAATAGAAATGATACTGGGAGTACAAGTCAGCTAAGCCAAGGGAAAGCATTAGAGTATATGACTAAGAGCCCAGACAACACATAGTTCAGATTCCACTTCTACCACTTACTGGATAGGTGACTTTATCTGCTTAATCTTCTTAATCTATACAATGAGGGGACAACTGATTCTTAATCTTTTGAATTTTGCCTTTAAAACCCCAAATTTTCACCTGCAAAATGATTGTAAATGCATAATACATGAGTATCATAAAGACTAATAAAATAACAAGTACAGTAGATTTAGGAGAGTACCTGTATTAGTCCATTTTCATACTATCACGAAGAAATATCTGAGACTGGGTAAATTAAAAAGAGGTTTCATGGCCTCACAGTTTCACATGGCTGGGGAGGCCTCACTCTCATGGTAGAAGGTGAAGGAGGAGCAAAGACACATCTTACATGGAGGCAGGCAAAGAGAGCCTGAGCAGGGGAACTGCCCTTTATAAAATCATTAGATCTTATGAGACTTATTCACTATAATGAGAACAGCATGGGAAAAGCCCGCCCCTTGATTCAATTATCTCCCACTGGGTCCCTCCCACAACACATGGGGATTATGGGAGCTACAATTCAAGATGAGATTCAGGTAGGGACACAACCAAACCCTATCAGTACCTAAAACTTAATAAGCAGCTCAGTTGATATTAGTTATTTTATTGGTTATAAGTATGATTTTTAGACATGCCCAGTTTAGCCTTACTACCACCAGTGACAGATCCTAAAATTGTATCCTTTGGGTCTTGAATCCTTCTTCCACACTCCTCATTGCCAGTTATGACACAAATACCCCCAAGGATCTAAAAATTATTGTGCTTATATTGTCAGACATTCTTATTTCAGGATAGTTCAAACTTCCTGAGAGTACACTTGTGTGAGGAATAGAACATAAAATAATGGAAAAGAGAATGCTATATAGTAATTAGGTTGAATTAGAAATTGCTTTACATAACCACATTATGTATGTGGGGGAAAAATAACATTCTTAATAACTTTTTTCCTACAACTGTATATATATAAAAATATATTTAAACATATATTTATATATCATATCCGTAATGTAAATAAATGTCTAGCATGTTTTTCAAGACTCATTAATGCAGTTGCCTCTTTCCTTGTAGCTTATCTGGCTATAGTAATATGTTGGAAATGTACTACTTTGGAGTGGGGAGTATGGCAAAGGAGAGCAAAACAATAGTTCAGATCAAGTAATCTTAGAGCCAGGAGGCAGCCAGGACTTCCGCCTGCTGGGCCATTGTTGCAGGACCACAGCTTCGAGGTTGCGCAACACCTTTAGTAAACACTTCCTGAATCAGAGACAAGAATGAACCAGGGAGTTTCATTCTGTCTCACTGGAGAGGAGGCAGGGACAGACCCAGCAGCACCCACCTGAGCGAGAAGAGCAGACACCGTGCTCCTGGAATCACCCAGCATGTTGCAAGGTCTCCTGCCAGTCAGTCTCCTCCTCTCTGTTGCAGGTACATATTTAGCTCTTTTTCAGGTTCTATTGAATGCATTAGCGAACTTTTCATAGTCTCCTAATAGTTTTATTGTATAAACTATTTTGACTTTTTTCTTTTTCTTTTTTCTCAATCAATCTTACTAACCAGTTGGGCTGGTTTTAACCTGTTGTTTGGGGGCTGCGAGTGATACAAAGACAATGTTAAAAAGAGGCAACAAGAGGTCTTGAACCAATATGTATGCATCTCATCTGAGAATATACAGAAATAAAAGGGACAATTTCATACAGCACAATTTAAATCATGAATATGATTTTTGACTGAAAAAGTGGAATTCATCAAAACCCAGCTTGTCATTTAAAGAATGGTAAAGATGTGGCAGATTTATTTATTTATTACTGTGTACAAGGCTTAGGAAAATACCTACTATTATTATGGGAGCCAGTTTGGCTCTTTCTGTTTGAGTGTATATTTTTGTATTTACTCATTATTAGTAATAATACGTGTGACTAACTGGAAATAATTAATATTTTTTATTTATAAGGTACTGTGATATTACTTAACAAAATATCTCTGTTAAGCTTAAATTGATAATTTACTTCTATTTTGCTGATTATACCAAACATTTAAAAATTTGAAAGGAGAAAAATACTACTTCCTAACAGGAAATTATGTCTAGCAAGTCTCTCAATTTCTGGTAAATTCTCTAATTAGACTTTGGTTAAATTAGATTGGGTATTGTGATTCTTCAGCTTCTATTTCCAGAGCTTATTTAACTCAGCACATGAACTGCAGTGCCTCGAATTCCTCCCAGTAAACCTGTTCTTGGGTCTTAGAATGTTTGCTGGGACCTGGGGATGGGAACAGATTATCAACTAGAGGTATGGGCTTAGGGAGGGAAAAGTTTTCCTTGTCCATGCACCCTCTTAGTACTTTGTTGCTAAAAATGATTTTCCTGTGTCTCACCTGTTTCTGATTTGTTTTCAAGACTTATAAAAATTTCACTTAACCTAATATCTTTAAATATCGAATTATTTTCCTTTTGTTTCTGTGTATTTTTGCTTTATATAATATGTACCTATATCTGAACTGAACCTTTTCCCACTGTGCTGTGATCCTCTTCATCTCTAATGCCTTTTGCTTTGATACCTATTTTGTCTGATGTGAACGTGTTACACCAGCTTTCTTTTGGTAAAATAAGCCTGAAATATTAAAAATATATATAAAACTCATGCCAGGCATTTAACATTGACCTGAAATTCCTACTTTTTGAGGCAGACTTAATAGAAATGTTTTTTTCTCTCCGTTCTCCAAAAATGCTATCACCAAGAGCTTTTCCAGAACCCCCTCTAAGCTGAAATACAAGAACTGCTTGGGCACTAGCTTAGTTGAAGAGCGTAAAGATCAAGCTGGATCCATTAACAGAGTCACATGGCTAACACTGGGGCCCATGCACATTACAGTCCTTTTGTGCAACTGGGCACACTAATCAGTTCTGCTGCCCCGACGGTGCATGTATAACATGGCACCAAGAGATGCAACTTCCTCTGATGTCAACTCTAAAAGTGTGATGTCACCCCTCCTTTAACTTCTAGCTTCTATTTTTAAGGGTGTCTTTTTGCCACTGAACTATCCCTGTTATGATTCCCATTTGGGTTGCCTTTCTAGTCAGAATATAAGAAGTAAAGCAATTTTCATTTCCCAGTTCTTCCTGTTTGTTCTCTGCCCCCATCATCAAAGCAATACATATGTGCCCCTCTGACCATGACTTCTGCCCAGTCCCCAGATGGTTGAAATAAAAGAAAGAGATGTAAAATAAGGCTGGTTGTGTGCAGTGAACTTCACAATCCCGAGAAAAAATTGACTTATGGGATTTCATCCTAGGAAAAGGAAAAACAAATATTTAAAAGGATGTGACAGGTGTTTGCGGGGTGAAGATGTAAATGATTGCATCAACAAAGGAGAAAGGTGCTTACCTTATTACAGCAGAATACTCAGGGGGTACAGCACTTTTTGAAATTATTTTATTTCAAACTACCAGTTCTTCCTTGCCTTTATAAGGTAACTGGAAGACTGAAAAGAAAATATACAGTTTAATCTAAATAGTCAAAATAACAGACCTAATAGAAATGCAGTTTTTTCCCTTTTGTTTGTACTCACTTTTAATGCATGAAGTTTAAAACCACAAGATGGTTTGAGGAGATGCAGAGAATCCCAGGACATAAGTCAATATCCTTGTGTAAACCCTAATTCAGCGTTTAATATGATGTGTTCAGTTTGGAAAGAAGACATTTCTTTGAACAGTTTCAAACACATTTGAACGAAAATGAAAATGTCAATATTACATACTCATGTTCCCATTTCCAAAATGACCCCAAACACATGAACAAATAATGTAGCAATCCAGACTAATGTCTCTCATATTAACGTTGTTAATGAGCTTTGGCTTTTCTAAGACTCAAAACAGTCAAAAATAATTATCCCATCTAAACCAAAATAACAGTTTTCTTTTTCCTGATCTGGTTTTGCTAGTCAAGACTAATCCAGTGTGTGAGTTCTGTGGGAGAGAGAAGGCAAGTATTAAAATGAATTAGTAAAAACATATTGTGTTACACCTTGGATTTGTGTAATCCCTGGATGGCAGTTAGTTGTGTTTGTTCCTCAGGCTTCAAAAATAATTAACGTGATGTTATTCAGTGGGGAAGACGCTGCACCATTTCCATTAAACTTAAGGATGGATGAGCTAAACAATATTTAGGTCTGTTACATCCCTACAATGGCTGTGTAATTTGTTGTATTCCAGATCCCATTATTTCAGGGACTTCTAGGTTTCCAGAAAATAAGAGCCTTTAAGAGAAATTCCATTTAGTTTCTTTAGAGAATATATGGAGTGACAGGAGTTTGGAAGGAGCTGGAATTCCATTCACTTCAAACTGAAGAGATTGAGAGGTTGCCAATGATTTCTAAAAGAAATGTTGTGGGTTTTTTTTTGTTGTTGTTGTTGTTTGTTTTATTTTGCTTTGTTTTTGGTTTCCATTTGGAAGTGTTCGGCCACCAAAAAGTTGGAAATAAATTACATAACTTACATATTTTAAGCCCATATTTAAGAGCCAGTTTGCAATTTCTAATTTCATGAAACATTGGGATTCAGATACTAACTAGAAGCATAGAGGTCAGGGTGCATGTGAGAGAAAATTTGTGTTGGCTAGATGAGCCTGTTTTCCTTCTTACCATTTCTGAATGGTGCTGAGAAGGAAACTCACTTCATTTTCTGCTTTTATACAAAAAATCGGGAACGTAGCTATTATTTTATTCCACGAAGGCAGCTTGGACTACTATTTCCTGTTAGAATCATGTGTGTTCTAATATAGCATTTAAAAAGATTTATGTTGGCTGCAACATTGGTGAAATTTGGCTTCTTGAACTCTCTATCTTAACAAGACTAATTGCATTGATTAGCTACTGTAATGTACCAGGCAGCACGTGGGTGCCTTATGGTATGCTTGTTTTGTGTCCCTGAATTAAGGAGGCAGCAGGGAATTGTGTCAATATCATCAGTTAATTTCTGGCAGGAGTAATTTTCTTACCTCTTGGCATCTTAGTGTTTCAAAATAATTACAATAATTAGAAAAATTTTAACTCAGAAAAAGAATCATCAATTTTTCTTTAGGTTTTTGAACTTATGTTTCAAAAATTTTTTATAATTGATGTTATTCTTTTCCTTTACCAAAAGTTAATTTAATAGAAATAAAAGACGCCCAGCGATTACCTCTGTGACAGCAAGAAATGAGGAACTGAAGAACCCCGTGATGTTGTTCTTGAAGTGTGACAATGTAATGAGGCTTATTTTATCACATTGGATCAGAATTCAGTTATCCTAATGATCACTGACTCTTGAAAGAGGTTATAGGGGATTCTGTACTTGTATGCATAAATCATAAACCACTTGAACTAGCTTTAGAAACCATTTAATTGGCGTCCTTTTTTCAAACTATTTAAAGACTCAAACCAAATAAAAAAAATAAGGTATTCTAATGTCAGTGCCATGGCTTTAAGTAATTTTGAATTTTTTTTTAGAGTAACTCTTACACCACTGAAAGAAAAGATAGTTCATTACTTTAACACCCCATTTTTGACTCAAAGAGTTCTTAGCTGGTTTAAACCCTTTTTCTGTTCTTCAAAGTTAAATGTAAGTGACTCTTGAGTCGTTAAATGAATTAAAGTCATTCTCGAGTAATTTTTAAAAAACGCTGTTTTTTGAAAGTTTATGCTTTAGTTTCTGAAGAAAACTTTAAACAATGTTTTGCTCTGTGGGAAGTGACTGGAGTAAGTGCACAGTCCTCCTAGATAAGCAAGGAATAATACTTATTAAGTGCCTCATCTATGTTTGTTAAAAGATCAACCACAGTAACATAAATGTATCTCACCATAGAACTTAAGATTTGAGTACTTTAATGAGCTGGCATTACCTTTAGAGACCCTCCTAGTCCTTACTCAGAGAAGAGAAAAAAACCTTTTCAGTTTTAGTCTTAGAAAGTTGTAGAGTTAGGCCCCATTCTGCTACTGCAGTCTACATTTTGGTTAAGCCTGTAGCCACCTGTAGCAGCTAAGGAGCAGGTCTATCGACTATATACAGAGCAGAGACTAGACCACATGGGCAAATCAAAAAGAAAATAGAAAATCTAATGTTAGCTTCGAGAAAATTGAATCTCTCTCTCCAAAATGACTTCTAGGCCAGGTGCTGTGGCTCATACCTGTAATCCCAGCACTTTGGGAGGCCGAGCCAGGAGGATTGCTACAGCCTGGGATTTCAAGACCAGCCTGGGCAACATAGCAAGACTACTTCTCTAATAGAAAAAAAAAAAAAAAGCCAGGCATGGTGGTGCACACCTGCAGTCCCAGCTACTCTGGAGGCTGAGGTGGAAGGATGGCTTGAGCCCAGGATGTTGAGGCTGCAGTGAACCCTGTTTGTGCCTCTGCACTCCAGCTTGGTGACAGAGTGAGACATTGTCTCAAAATACAATAAAACAAAATGACTTCTAAAGACAACATGGAGAGGAGCATTTAAAATGCAGATAGGTTGGATCAAATCACTTTTCAGTTCTCTTTCAATATGACTGCAGGCTCAAAAAAGTCCTTCCAGGCCAGTGATTCTGTTTGAATTATCTGCTTCTCTAATTTTCATTTTTTAAATGTTCTGTATGCAAAAATAAGGTTTTTCTGTACTGCTTATGCCAGCTCATTCTATGAACCTAGTATTGGAGCCTTTTCTTACTGTGACATAGTTTTTTTTTATTAGTATAGAATATTGCTGTTTTCAAATCCAAGAAAAATAGAATAAAAATTGTGCACATTAGTTATTTTATTTTTCTAACATTGTATGGTTTCCAGTGCTTCAACCCAATTTTTCTGGGACTGATTCGCTTCTCAGAGGATTACTTTCGCTTCTATCTTCACTTCTTTTTGCCTGAGCTGTTGCTATTTCCCTGCACTGCAGGATCAAAGATAAGAAGTGGGAAAATCCAAAAGAAATACTTTCTCTAAATACAGTAACACCTGTAAACTTTTAGTGGGGAAGGATCTGAAGATATAGGCTAAAGTAAAACTTTAAGAGGAAAGAGTAGCTTTCTGAGGTTGTTGCTCTCTTCTGGTGTCAGCACATTAATCACTCTGACATTCATCACTTCAGGCTTCTGTGTGTGGCATCGTTCATTGGGAATGCAGTAAGGATGGCCTTTACTGACCAGCCTACTTCAGTTCTACCTGGATAAGTCTTTTCTTTTTCTTTTTTCTCAGTAAGTGCTATAAAAGAACTCCCTGGGGTGAAGAAGTATGAAGTGGTTTATCCTATAAGACTTCATCCACTGCATAAAAGAGAGGCCAAAGAGCCAGAGCAACAGGTACAGCTTTTGATTTATCAAAGGATCTTGATTTGAGATACATATATACACACATATATATATCTATCTATGATGAGAGATAGATATGGGATTTATACATGTATGTTTATATATGTGTGTGTGTGTATGTGTGTGCCTGTGTGTTTCAAGTGGAATTTGTGATGTTTTCAGCAATTACACCTTGGAGTTAAATAACAATGATTATATTTGTATTTGTTTTTGACCTTTTAAAAAATCTTCACTATAACCCAAAGTTATATTATTAACCTCATTCTACAAATCAAGTTTCTGAGAAGTGAAAGAAACTGTCCAAGGTTAAAAAGAGTAAATTTGTTTTTTGTTTTTTGTTTTTTTTTCCAGACAGAGTCTCGCTCTGTCGCCCAGGCTGGAGTGCAGTGGTGTGATCTTGGCTCACTGCAAGCTCCGCCTCCCAGGTTCACGCCATTCTCCGCCTCAGCCTCCCGAGTAGCTGGGACTGCAGGCGCCCGCCACCACGCTCGGCTAATTTTTTTGTATTTTTAGTTGAGACGGGGTTTCACTGTGTTAGCCAGGATGTTTTCTATCTCCTGACCTTGTGATCCGCCCGCCTCGGCCTCCCAAAGTGCTGGGATTACAGGCGTGAGCTACCGCCTAGCCATAAATTTAACATTTTATGATGATTTATTCTACGTACTTCCAAAAGAAAATTGGATGCTATCTCTCTATCTATCCATCCTTCCAAACACAACTATGACAATTGAAACAGAAACAGAAAACAAAATACAGCAGGTGAATGCATGTATATATGCACATTAACATGAAATTTACCTGTCTTTTCTGAATAGGCTCTTCTTAATGTTTGTACGTTTCTTACTGCAAATGAAACAACATATTCTCAGTCAACATTTACTCAATAAACATTTATTAATTCTAAGAGAAAAGCTAAAACATGATGATTCATTCAATTATAACAATGTTATAATTACCTGCACTCTTAAGTCTTCTTCTGGGAGCCAGCAAGATACAGATAAATGAGACACAAATAATAGTTTACAGAAATACTCTGAAATCCAGCACACTCGGTGCACATATTCCCTCACTGGACACGGTTTCCCATAGCATTTCTTCTAAAGCAAATTTATGAAAACAGAACCTGTATTTGACCCCATTTCCCAAAATAATTATCAACCAAGTGGTTTCACTAACTTCAGATGGAACCCAAAAGCATAGGATTCCCCTTCAATATGACTTTCTTCAAATGCTCTCTAAGACTTTCTTTAAAATGTCAGACACCTTTTTTCCTGTTGTGCATTATGCTTATTATCTGGGTGACAAAGTAATCTGTACACCAAACCCCCATGACATGCGATTTACCTGTATAACAAACTGGCACAGGTATCCCCTGAATCTAAAATAAAAGTTGGAAAAAAAAATAAGGATTTTTAATATATTTTCATATTTAGTCCTTTCAACAAACATATAACTTAAGTGTATTTTTACAGTATTTTATTTCTAAGTGGAGAGATAGGGGCTCAGAAAATTTAAGTACCCTGCCTAGGAGCACATAGCTTATACGTTTTCTAGCTAGGATTCAAACCTCTGTTTGACTCCAAATGACAACTTTATGTGTTAGTATTATTTGTGGCTGCCTATCCAAGCAGCTAAATTGATTTAATATATGGGAGAGTCCATATGTTCTCCTGAGAGCCTCTGTGGGATCAACACAGGCTTTCTGGCCATTAAGGTAGCTCAAGTTCTGTTACACTAAAGTCTAAGAGTCAGTCTGTAACCCTGAGACACTGACCAGTTTGTTGTATCGTTTACTGTTAAAAATAAGAGACTCATCAGCTGAATTTTTTTTCTAATAACTTTTTGTCTTTTTGAAAATTCTATTTTAAGTTCTGGGATACATGTGCAGAATGTGCAGGTTTGTTACATAGATAAACGTGTGCCATGGTGGTTTGCTGCACCTATCAACCCATCACCTAGGTTTTAAGCCCAGCATGCATTAGCTATTTTTCCTGATGTTCTCCCTTGCCCCGCCGCCTACCACTCCTCAGAGTGTGTTGTTCCCCTGCCTGTGTCCACGTGTTCTCATTGTTCAGCTCTGAATTATAAGTGAGAACATGTGGTGTTTGGTTTTCTGTTCCTGTGTAAGTTCACTGTGGATAACGGCTTCCAGCTCCATCCATGTGCCTGCAAAGGACATGATCCTGTTCCTTTTTATGGTTGCATAGTATTCCATGGTGTATATGTACCACATTTCCTTTATCCAGTCTCTCACTCATGGGCATTTGGGTTGATTCCACGTCACTGCTACTGTGAATAGTGCCGCAATGAACATGTGCATGCATGTATCTTTGTAATAGAATGATTTATATTCCATTGGGTATATACCCAGTAATGGGATTGCTGGGTTAAATGGTATTTCTGGTTCTAGGTCTTTGAGGAATTGCCACACCGTCTTCCACAACGGTTGAACTAAATTACGTTCCCACCAACAGTGTAAACGCATTCCTATTTCTCCACAGCCTTGCCAGCATCTATTGTTTCTTGACTTTTTAATAATCACCATTCTGACTGGTGTGAGATGGTATCTCATTGTGGTTTTGATTTGCATTTCTCTAATCATCAGTGATGTTGAGCTTTTTTCATGTTTGTTGGCTGCATGAATGTCTTCTTTTGAGAAGTGTCTGTTCATGTCCTTTGTCCACTTTTTTTTAAAAATTATACCTTAAGTTCTAGGGTACATGTGCACAACGTGCAGGTTTGTTACATATATATACATGTGCCATGTTGGTGTGCTACACCCATTAACTCATCATTTACATTAGGTATATCTCCTAATGCTATCCCTCCCCCCTCCCCCCTCCCCACAACAAGCCACAGTGTGTGATGTTCCCCATCCTGTGTCCATGTGTTCTCATTGTTCAGGGTTGTTTGTTTTTCTTATAAATTTAAGTTCCTTGTAGATTCTGCATATTTGACCTTTGTCAGATCAATAGATTGTAAAAATTTTCTCTCATTCTGTAGGTTGTCTGTTCACTCTGATGATAGTTTATTTTGCTGTATAGAAGCTCTTTAGTTTTATTAGATCCCGTTTGTCAATTTTTGCTTTTGTTGCAATTGCTTTTGATGATTTGTCATGAAATTTTTGCCTGTGCTTATGTCCTGAATGGTATTGCCTAGATTTTCTTCTAGGGTTTTTATAGTTTTTGGGTTTACATTTGAGTTTTTAATCTATCTTGAGTTAATTTTTGTATAAGGTGGAACAAAGGGGTCCAGTTTCAATTTTCTGCATGTGGCTAGCCAGTTCTCCCAGTACCATTTATTAAATATGAAATCTTTTTCCCATTGCTTGTTTTTGTAAGGTTTGTCAAAGATCAGAGGATTATAGATGTGTGGTCTTATTTCTGACCTCTCTATCCATTTCCATTGGTCTATGTGTCTGTTTTGTACCAGTACCATGCTGTTTTGTTTACTACAGCCTTGTAATACACCTTGAAGTCCGGTAGTATAATGCCTCCAGCTTTGTTCTTTTTGCTTAAGATTGTCTTGGCTATACAGGCTCTTTTGTGGTTTCATATGAATTTTAAAGTAATTTTTTTCTAATTCTGTGAAAGATGTCAATGGTAGTTTAATGGGAATAGCACTGATTCTATAAATTACTGTGGGCAGTATGGCTATTTTCACAGTATTGATTCTTCATATCCATGAACATGGAATGTTTTTCCATTTGTTTGTGTCCTTTCTGATTTCCTTAAGCAGTGGTTTGTGTTCTCCTTGAAGAGGTCCTTCACTTCCCTTGTTAGCCATCAGCTGAAATTTTACAAGTTCACCTGTATCTTCTTTGTTATCAACCTTTTGCTACTAAACCAATGATTAATTGTGTCCTTGTGGAAATTTACACTAATTATCTACTCTTTATGTGTTTTTTTCTCACAGTAAACAATGCTTCCAAGAAAACCCAACATTTACACACACACACACATGCACGTGCACACCAAACACCCTTTTTTCACTGAACATTTTGAGGAAAATTTAAACACAAGTGAAGTGTTTTTAATCACAGCTGTGAAGTGATTTCCTCACGACTGTAAAAAATAAATTTGAGTTTTGAATATATATTTTGATTAACGAAAGCCATAGACTAGTTACTGGCTCATACTAGATGAACAATATTAATTTTTGCAATGATTGACTAGGTGGATGAGGTTGATATAATGTGCTTGATATTTACTGCAGTTATATTATTTATCTAGTCCATTACTAGGTTAAATGGCTACATGAACCTTACATTTTCCTGATCCATAGTGCAAGTATATAGGAGCTGAATTCAGAGGATTAGTTTGTGTTCACCTGTAAATTTTGTCCATTCTCTCTGTATAAATTTAGACAAACATAAACCTTACGTTTCTTGTCTTAAAGTGGAGATGATCATAATACTTGTATAAATATTTGGGGATAATGTATATGAAAAGCAAGGAAGGATCCAAATTTTAACTCCCTATTCAAGATTATGCTATGGGCTGGGTGCATTGGCTCACACCTGTAATCCCAGCACTTTGGGAGATTGAGGCGGGTGGGTCACCTGAGGTCAGGGGTTCAAGACCAACCTGGCCAAGGTTGTGAAACCTGTCTCTATCAAAAATACAAAAAATTAGCTGGGTGTGGTGGTGGGTACCTCTAATCCCAACTACTAAGGAGGCTGAGGCAGGAGAATCATTGGAAACCTCTAATCCCAACTACTAAGGAGGCTGAGGCAGGAGAATCATTGGAACCTGGGAGGCAGAGGTTGCAGTGAGCTGAGATCACGTCATTTGCACTCCAACCTGGGCAACAAGAGTGAAACTCCTTCTCAAAAAAAAAAAAAAATAGATTATGCTATGGTGCTGCCCTGTGTAGCCCATCATATTCCAGTTCTTATGACTAATTTTCAGTTTTTGTGGCTTCATGTCCCAGTTAATAAACCTTTATTTTAAAATTCTTCTTTTCGACATAAATTATCAACTTCAGGTTGCTTTTCTTAATAATATTCTTGTTTCTACTTCTATGTTTTTTTTAATGGATTTCTTGCTACTTAAAATATTCTCTCTACATTTAGAGTCCCTCCCATTTAGGGGACTCTATATTTAGAGTCTCTTATAGTCTTTGTTAAGCTGACTTGCCATATTCATATATACACTAATATATCCCTATCCTGAAATCGTGCGTCAGTCACAGTCAGTATTATAAAGTTTAGCTACTGATTTTAAAAAGAAATGTTGATTTTGTGTCAGGAGCGATGGTGTGTTCACAAGTGTGTGTATGTGTGTGTGTGCATGTGTTTCTATGAGAGCAAGTGTAACCTTCACTTCTGGTTTGAAACTGTCCAGGTAAATTTTTAAGAGGTTTCTTTTTTTTTTTTTTTTTTTTTTTTTTAAAATATGTCTTTGCTATGTCTCTACTCCTCCTTCACCCTCACCTGCCAATCCTTGTCCTGGAACATAAATACTTGTTTCATTAATACATGTTGGTCTAAATAAATACTTGCAAAGCACATTAATTTTATCTTTAAAGGAAATAAGAGTATTAAATAAACACCATAGATAATTGAAGAAAAAATTACCTAAACAATTAGAACCTTTTAATGTTCCTTTAAATGGAAAATCTTTTATTTTTTTAGTTTCATCTATTACATTTCCAAGTTCTCTCCTGCTCCCTTTGGTTGAAGAGTGTAGAAGAGAATATATTATGAGGCCTGATGAATATAATGGAATGAGCACTGAATGCTTCCACAGCATCTCAGAAATAAATATAACTCTCCCATGTTTACTTTTTAATATCTCAGGTGTCAGGTGACACCTTTGAATTACCCCACAATAACCATGTGGCTAAACCATTAGCAGTAAGTTTTGCCAGGGTTTAATTCCAGCTGTTCACAGGGAGATATCAAAAACCGCATGACAGGGTTGCCAGATGAAATACAGAGTACCAGTTAAGTTTGAATTTCAGACAAACAGTAAAACTTTTTTGTATAAATATGTCCCACACCACTTTGGGAGGCCGAGGCGGGTGGATGACGAGGTCAGGAGTTAAGAGACTAGTCCGACCAACATGGTGAAACCCTGTCTCTACTAAAAATACACACACACAAATTAGCTGGGTGTGGTGGTGCGCACCTGTAACACCAGCTTCTCAGGAGGCTGAGGCAGGAGAATCACTTGAACCCTGGGAGGCAGAGGTGGCAGTGAGCTGAGATCATGCCACTGCACTCCAGCCTGGGTGACAGAGTGAGACTCCATCTCAAATACAAATAAATAAATAAATATATATATATATATATATATTTAAAAATATATATATATATGTTCCACACAACACTTCTGATATAATTATAAAGAAGCATTCCAACAGAATGAATCTAATTTTCCCAGCTAGTGCATTTGCATCTCTTTTCCTTAGTCGCTGATCTCTAGTTTCTATTCTTTCCCACATCTTCTAAACTCCTCCATGTGCAGGATTGTCACATTTAGCAAACAGAAATATAGGATGCCCAGTTAAATTTCAAATAAACAACAAATATTTCATTAGTATGTCACCATGGTCATAGGGGGCATATGTATTTTAAAAAGTATTGTGTGTTTTTATGTATAAACAAAAAAATATTCTCTGTTTATCTGAGATTCACATTTAATTGGCATCCTGTATTTTATCTGGCAATCCTATCCTGTGGCTTTTGATATCACCCTGTGAGCATCCAGAACTAAGCCCTAGCAATCTGTCCATGATTCCAGATTCTGTCCTATCCACAGATCTAAGGTTCCTAATGCTGCTGCATGCCTCATATCTCACTCCTGCCCTGTTAGGGTTCTTGGGTTCTGCCATATCACAGTTGTTTTACAAACATAGACTGAAGAAGCTAGTGACATCTTTGTTTGCCACACAACAAATACATGATTTCCATTGGCATAGACTCTTCTATAGTCTCTCAGGCACACCTTATGACTAATAAGAACACTGTCTTCTAGATATAAGCCAAGTTTTAGGAGTTATCTTTGTAGTTTCTGTGTTGAGACTATGGGTCTTCCCTGTGCAAAGACTTGATTAGCAAATACTATTTGAAACGATCCCAAATTCATAGTGCAGTTGACCACCCTTCTGATCAAGGGGATCTCTGTATATCCCATGAAAGCTTCATAGGTCTCACCCTAGATTAAGTGCTTCACTTCTCAAGACAGTGAACAGATGGAAGACTTTTGTAGTTATCATTATACAACTGTGCCCTGTGTTGTTTTATTATACAACCAGAGAACTGAGGCACTGGCTTTACCTGTCAGCTACGCCAGGGTTGTGACGTCATCTTTCTGACTTGATCACACATGCCACATTGCTTAATATTTCAGCTAGACTGAAATAATCCTGTGTAAAAATTTTTGGGGGCTGGGAGTAAAGAACAAGGTGGAACTTTGAATATTTTATTCATAATCATATTCACGATTGTATTTATATGAATGACATAAGGACTAAATAAGTATGTGTTAAATAAATGACCAAATGAGTAAGTAAACTAATGGACAAATGAATAAATGTTTATGACTGGAGCATATTACCCATAAACCTCCATAGATGCATATTTAACCTATACTCTGTGAAAGTCCCTGATGCTGGGAACTTAAATTCTAAAGACAGTAACTATTCTTCAGAGAATTCAGCATCCAGATTGTACATGTTCTTAGAGGCCCAAACCATCTTGGTATTGGCCCATGTCGTAAAAGAAAATATCTTACAGCACAATTCCTCCCTCAGATTGAGAATTCTTTCAGGCCCATTAGCTGATTTAGCAGGGTTTCTAGAGCTCACGGATTTACTGTAAGTTTTGAACAACTGTTGTATTACTAGAATTAAGAACCTCTCTGTGTATTCTACGGCTGCCCTTGATATTTCCTGTGTGCCCATTGACATCCCCTAGACCTTACAGATTTGCTCCATCCCAGAAACATCCAGGACTGTGGCTTTCCCAATCCACCCACTAAATCAGACCCATGTCATTATTTTAGAGGAAATTTGGATCTATATGTTTCTGTGGTCAGCTAGTCTTACTCAGTAAAACCAAAATCATTTCCTTATAGTGAGTGCTCTCCAAATCAAGGTGCATCTTACTTCTCTTGATGCATACTTCAGAACCTACAGAGTACACAACTAGAACACACTTCTTATCCTCAAACCTTGCTCTCCACCAGGGAACTCTCTTTCAAAAGTATTATTATTACATTACCCAGTGTACTCTCTTTCATAGAGGCCCTGGCTTTCTTCCTTCATCTTTCCTTCCATCCATAATCTTTATGCCAGTGTTAACCAAAACTCCACTCCAAAAGCATTTATTCTTTTCTAAAACAACCTTCAGCTAAAGTTTTAGTAACTAAATCTACTAAAAAGCCATTGCTGAACAGGAAGCAGATATCTGGAAGGCCATTTCTGGTAGAAGACCATATTTGGTATCATTCTCATGGCTTCATTCTAGCTAGGCTTTCTTAATCCTGAACAGTAAGAGGTTATGACTATTCTGCATAACTTTTATTTTCAATGCCCTTTCTCTTTCCAGTTCCTGTCATCCATGAAAATAAGCTGAGTCCATCAACCTCTACTTATCTAGGCCCACATTTGGGGGAAATTTATAGCCTGGGATTACTGACAGCAGAGCAGACCTCAACAACTGAGGATTTAAGCAAAGTATGGACTGTAAGAATTGACTTTGGAGAGGGCTAAATCCCAGCACGGTGCTCATGATCTGATGATTCTAACATGCCTTGTCTGTCTGTGAGCTCAGATACCATACCGGCCAGAAGGGGAGGGAGAGAAGGAAGGCTTGAGCTTAGGTGCACCACAGCAGAAGAAACAGAACTCAGTCCATAATATGTGTTTCTCAACAACCTTTGGTCTACCATATTTAGATATCTTTAATGACAATAACGAGGCACTTCCTAATAACTTTTTAGATATTGAGTGCAACCACAGCCAATAACCCTGTTTTATAGACCAAAGTCAGAACTTAGTACCCCAAAACATCTTCTTTAAAATAATTCTGTGTAGTCCTCAATAGCTCTCCTTATATACCAATATCCAAGTTTAAAATAATTTTCCTTTTACATGGTTTACCCGAGGTAATATTTCTTCCTTCTTAAATACCTGGGACTGTGGTTTCTTCTTGATGGTTCTTCCTCACATTACAGTATACATTCCTGTTATGTTTCTCATAGTTTATGTTCCAGTTAGTCTTGAGAAGACTTCAAGACCAAAAATCATGAGATGTGATAGAAGTTTTTAGGCGTCTGTGTACACTATTCCTTCTAATCAGTTAACTTCCCTTACTCACTTCACCTGGGTAATTTATGTGTCGTTTTAAACATTACTTCCTCAAAAAAGCCTTTCCTGGCTTTAAGATGTGAGACATCCTACTATATACATCCATTATCATGCACATAACTCACCTCATTGTCTGTCTTTTCACAAGATCATAAGCTCTCTGACAGTACGTACCAATTTTTCTTGCTTAGAGTAGAATTTTCAAAACCAAGCAGTATCTTGCAAAGAAACAGCACTCACTCAAACGATACTTTAAAATGCAGGGATGGATGGATGGAAGGATGGTTGGAAGGGTGGATGGATAAAAGGCTCTCAGATAATTTGTTTATTTAGTTGCCAGAGTTGTTTGATCTGTCAAGAGGGGAAGAGGCAAGTATTTGGTATTATACTGCTAAAAAATAGATATTGCTTGCTAATGACTACACAGATAGAAATATAATAGTCAAATGAATATGTTTTTAATTACAAGTAAATGTTTGTGTATTTTTGCAGGAACAATTTGAAACTGAATTAAAGTATAAAATGACAATTAATGGAAAAATTGCAGTGCTTTATTTGAAAAAAAACAAGTAAGTATCTTTACCTGTGATATTATCCTCAGCAAGAGCAAGGCAGCCTATGGAGAGTGTGCTGAGTCTGTTGCTGCTTATGGCTCACACAAACCTGGACTAATCAGCGTTTGCTCTCAAATGACTTGAGAATTTCCATGGACTTAGCAATCAGCACAAGTAACCACAACATTTTTGTGTTTCTTTCTCCAGGAACCTCCTTGCACCAGGCTACACGGAAACATATTATAATTCCACTGGAAAGGAGATCACCACAAGCCCACAAATTATGGTATAACGGAGTCTCTTCAATTCTTTAATTAGGGTTTTACCCACAGACCTAAAGGTAGTGTCCTTGCCAGGCAAATAATAGAAGTGAAACTGCATTTGTAACATTAGTGCTTTTTTCAGCAGTAGCCATTACTTAAAATATAAAAAAAAGAAAAGTGGAAAATCAATTAACAAGAACAAAACAATTTCTTGGCAACTCCGGTAAGTTTTTCCAGCCTTTAAGGACCCCTGTAGGAGGGTGGGTAGAAGGAGCATGTTATTTTCTTGAGAGTGAAGAGTTACATACCTCTGGTGTTCTCAATCAATTTCTATCATTTCTCTGGATTTGTGGTCTCTTCAGCCAAGACTATTTCCTCAATGGCAATTGCAGAATTGCTTTTCTTAAACAATTTCTCTTTACTGCTATTCATAGCCCATCTTTTCTTAGACTGAGCAGATGACAGTGTGTAGCCATGTGAGGGGTCATGCACCATTACCTCTTTTTCTGAGCTCCATTTTCCATGGGAAGCCCTTCAAGCATTGTTCTCTGTAGCAATAATATCAGAGTTTACATGGGTCAACACCTCATCTGTCCCGAACTAGAAAGGTCCTTCATGGAACACCCACACGAAAAAATGTTAAGAAGGGCATTTTGCTCCAAATGGAGGCAAGAAATGTGCTGATCCAGTTAATCTGATGGAACGCTTTTGATAAATCAAGAAAGAAAAAACAAAAACCCAATCTAAATAACCTATCCTTTGGAAAAAAGCTTGTAGATCTTTGCTAGAAAGAAGTTAATGAGAAAATGGCCAAAAGGAAAAATGAGTGTCCAGTGTTTTAGGAGCTCAGGTTTTAAACTGACATATCCAAGTTTATTCCATCTAAGTATTATTGACATTCATCCTACTTAGTCAACATTGACAGTTAATACCTTGTAAACATTTTGGGATCATTAACTGACATTAACAATTTTAACTTACATGAAAGATTTTAATTATTTTTTAAACATCTTAGTTTACTGTTGTACAGCAGAATATTGTTTGAAAGCATTTAAAATCCTGTTTCAAGATTTCAGATGCGGCTTTAGCAGCGGTGCTAAAATTCACATGTACTTCTCTTTACAAAACCCCTTTTCCTTTAGGATGATTGTTATTATCAAGGACATATTCTTAATGAAAAGGTTTCTGACGCTAGCATCAGCACATGTAGGGGTCTAAGGTAAGACTTCAGGAATGTTTTGCATGTACCTGTGATTGTGGTATTTATGTATGTATCTAACCAACCAGATGAATCCCAAATATCATTAATTTTTATATAGTTGAATATAAATCATAAGGGCCATAACATTTTGAAATTTGAAGAAACACCGCTTCTCTTGATAGTGGCTTGTAAATTACATATCCGAATTGCTTTCAAATATATTTTTGTTAGTTTAGTTTTAAAATACAGGATTTTGAATCCCAGTTCTGGAGTCAGAATCTTTAGGTAATGGGAGCTGCTCTCTCTTCTCGCTCTTCACTTTATTTTACTCATTGATTTAGATGGAGTCTTGCTCTGTCACCAGGCTGGAGTATAGTGGTGCGATTTCAGCTCACTGCAATCTCAGTCTCCTGGGTTCAAGTGATTCTCCTACCTCAGCCTCTCGAGTAGCTGGGATTACAGATGCCCGCCACCACACCTGGCTAGGTTTTGTATTTTTAATAGAAACAGAATTTCACCATATTGGCCAGGTTGGTCTCGAACTCCTGACCTCAAGTAGTCTGCCCGCCTCAGCCTCCCAAAGTGCTGGAATTACAGGCATGAGCCACCACCCCCAGACTCTCTCCCCACTTTAAGCTCTCACTCGCTCTCTCTCTAGATTGCCTTATCCATGACTATGACATACCATTCTGTCTGTTAATGATATACTATGCATCTGTCTATATATAGTAATCTATAGTAAGGTGGCTCTTCTGATGTCCAGACTTGATTATCTAATTTTCTTTTTCATATTTTCAGTTGGATATCTTAAAGAAACCTCAATCTCAGTATGCCTTAAACCAAACTAATGATTGTCTTTTGAATCTGGTATGGTTTCCATGTTCTTTATTTTAATCAATGGTATAATTAGATAATCACTTGCCCAATTCAGAAACCTAAATTCCTTGAGGTCTGCTTGCCCCTCAGCCCTGCATTTTCAATCCCTTACCAAGTCTTATTGATTCTATCTTCTAAACACTTTCTGAAATTGTTCATTCTGTCTCTACTACGATATCCTAGTCCATCTACCATGATTCCTTATGCAGACCATTGCAATAAACCCCATAATTTATCTTCTTATATCCACTCTTGCCATTATCTAATTTTATGTACATTTAATTCAGTCTGTCTATTATATCTCTTGTACTTTTTCTTCACATCAATTATTATAATTATATATAAGTACTTACTATATAATTATATATATTCTGTGATTATTTGATACACATCCATTTTCCTCATTTGAACATAAGCTCCATAAGAAAAGAGACCATGTCTTTATTTTTGCTGTCTACCCTTAGTCCAATGCCTAATGAATAATGGGTACTCAATGAATATTGGTTGAATGAACCCTGGTTCAAGGCTTTAGCAGAGAAAATTGAGAAGAAATTGATAATATTTATTTGTCATGTGCTTTACATGTTCTCTCATTCAATCTTTACTATCACTATATTAGGTAGGTATTAAGACAAATAAATGTGGAGAACCTGAGGCTTGTGAGTTTAAAGAATTTTCCAAATGTATCACAGTGAATGAGTTATAAAGCCAGTATATTAACACTTATCTATAAAACTCTAAAATCCTTTTCATTATAAGTGTACCTTTAGAACAAGTATAGCATTAAAATTGGAAGAATGCTGTACCAAGTGTCAGGAAATATTCATTCTAGTGCCAGAACTGATATGGTTGCTTGTACAACACTGCAGCAGTCACTTCTCCTTAATATGTCTTATTTCCTTGTAGAAAATAAGTTTAGATAATCTTCAAGGTATCTTCAGCTGTAAGTTTTACTGTATTTTATTGCCATGAGCTTAAATTGTTTTTGACATTGACTAGGAATTTTAAAGGTCCTCTTTTGGATCTTATAAATCTGTATGAACCTAATGCAACAATATTTGTTAAGAAGCCAGAACTCTCATGTTTTTTCAGGGGCTACTTCAGTCAGGGGGATCAAAGATACTTTATTGAACCTTTAAGCCCCATACATCGGGATGGACAGGAGCATGCACTCTTCAAGTATAACCCTGATGAAAAGAATTATGACAGCACCTGTGGGATGGATGGTGTGTTGTGGGCCCACGATTTGCAGCAGAACATTGCCCTACCTGCCACCAAACTAGTAGTATGTGTAACTTTATTTATTTGAAATGCTCTCATGTATTCTGCCCTGGTTTCCAGAATTAGCAGTGCAATTTACTGAAACTATAGTCATTGTCAAAATTAGTAAGTTATAGAGACACTAATCCTTAAATATTGCTAGACATTAATGATTCATTTAACAAGTACTTAGGAATCAACTATTTTTTTTTTTTTTTTGAGATGGAGTTTCACTCTTGTTGCCTGGGCTGTAGTGCAATGGTGTGATCTTGGCCCATCACATCTTCCACCTCCCAGGTTTGAGTGATTCTCCTGTCTCAGCCTCCTGAGTAGCTGGGATTATAGGCATGTGCCACCATGCCCAGCTAATTTTGTATTTTTAGTAGAGACAGGGTTTCACCATGTTGGTCAGGCTGGTCTCCAACTCCCGACCTCGGGTGATCCACCTGTCTCAGCCTCCCAAAGTGCTGAGATTACAGGCATGAGCCACCGCACTTAGCCGGAATCAACTATTATTTTCAGCAATGTACAAAGGTTAAAAATAAGTGTAAAATATAACTGCCCTCTAGAAGCAGGAATCTGTCACACTATTCCCTGTAGCCTACAATAAACCACAAAGATATAAAGTATTATTATTAATTTACTCTTGATTTTAGCCAAAAAGCTATGAAGTGATTATTATTATTTTGAAATATCTTGCTGTCATCATAAATTCATTCAACAAATCTCTCTTAAAGTGCTGTCACAGGTGCTGGGAAGATAGAAATGAGCAAAATAGACATAGAATCTGGCTACAGGAACTTAGAATATTATTTTATGTGTGGAATTCTGCTTCTAGTCATAGGAGATAAATGAATATAGTTTTGTGTTTTAGACTGTATATATCAAAATATCTTTGTTGACCTTACTTTTATTTCTTATTGATACTGCTTTTATTTCCAAGATTTATTTCAAATCCAATCATTTCTTTTAAATGTTCTCAGAGTCTGTGAGCAAAGGGTATAATTGGTCTAAATAAAATTTCTAGTCAGTTTAATTTTCTGTAGGTTTAAATTCTACCAGCAAGTTCAGTAGTAAAGGTAAATGTATAGTCAAACCCAGAATACTCCAATATTTTAAGTGCTCTGTAGATCACATATATCTCTAGTATGACACTTAAAAATCAAATGAGTAAAAAATAATGATGCCCATAATAATTTGTTAAGAAATATATAATATAAAATATGTATATTGTGACATTAAAAGTATAAATTGTCAGGGGGAAGATAAAAGTCTAGAGTTTTTATACATGACTGAAGTTAAGTTGTTATTGGTGTAAGATACTCCATTACAACTATAAGATGTTTTATGTAAACCTCACGGTAAATACAAAAAAAAAAAAAACTATAGCAGATACAAATGATAATGAGAAAAGAATAAAAATGCAGCACTACAGAAAAATGACCAAATCACAAAGATAAACAAGGGAGGAAGAAATGAAAAAGAAATCTATAAAACAAAATGGCAGTAGGAGATCCTTACCTATAAATAATTACTAGGAATGTAAATGGATTAAATTTTCCAATCAAAAGATAAAGAGTGGCTGAATGGCTGAAAAAACAAGATCTGACTATATGCTGCCTCCAAGAGACATTTTTAAGCTTTAAAGACATGCATAGGCTGAAAGAAAAAGATGGAAGAACATATTCCATGCAAATGGTAACAAAATAGACAAACTCTTAGGCAGACTAAGAGGAAAACTCAAATATATAAAATCAGAAATGAAAGTGGAGATATTACAAAAGATGTCTCAGAAATGAAAAAAAGATCTTAAAGGACTAATATGAAAAATTATTTGTCAATAAATTTGATAGCCTAGAGAAAATAGATGAATTCCTAGAAAAATACAACCTATAAAGGTTGAATCAGAAAGAAGTAGAAAGCCTGAACAGACCAATAACAAAGAGATTGAAATAGTAATTAAAAATCTTTCAACAAAGAAAGCCTAGGACTAGATGGCTCTAGAGCTGAAAAGTATCAAACATTCAAAGAAGAATTATTACCAATACTTTTTAAAATTTTCAAAAAAATAGAGACAGAAGGTGTACTGCTTAGTACTTGTTACAAGCCCAGCATTACCTTTATACCTAACCCAAGACAAAGACGCCAAAGAAAGGAAAACTACAGGCCAATAATTCTGACAAACACTGAGGTAAAAATTTTCAATAAAATATTAGCAAATCAAATTCAACAACACATCCAAAAGATTATACATCATAATCAAATGGGACTTATCCTTGGTATACTGACTTAACCTACACAAATTGATCAATGTAGTATATCAATTATATCAACAGACTGAAAGACAAAAAATACATGATCATATCAATTGGTGAAAAGGCATTAAACAAAGTTTAACATGCTTTCTTGATTAAAAGTTTAGGTAGTTAAATAATGGTGTGGAGTTAATGGTTCTTGATTTGAGAGTTTAGGCATAGAAGAAAAGTTCCTCAACATCATAAAGGCCATTTATTTATTTATTTATTTATTTATTTATTTATATTTTTTAGCAGTCAAATATACCTTATTTTATTCTCATAAAATGCTACAAATTATCTTGATTTAGGATATTTGTAAACATTCTATAGCAGCTAGGAACATGTTTTTCCAAAACCAAATAAAGTTTTTTACATGCCAGTTACATTTCAGAGATTTTGTCATTCTTATATTCTTCTTTCTTCATAAAAGTAAGTGCTTGCTCAAATATGTGGGCCTTCTACTGAAATTCATTTAATATATAACTTTTATCCTTGGCTTAGTTGGAATTCGAGTTTTGATAAGAAAGGTGTGGTTGAATGGACATAATCATAGGCTTTCAGCAACCACACAAATGTTGATAGTGTGCAATGCAGTTGTTGATGATTAAACAATAATGAAAATTTAAGAACACTGTTGCATTATTTTATTTGAAGCTGGAATGATGTGAAACTCTAAAATATGTCTCAGCCCAAGCATTAAGGTTTACCTGCCCACTCTTCTTTCTCCTTATTTATTTTTTAAATTAAAAGCCATTTATGGAAAGCCGCTGATAACATCATAATCAATCGGAAAGCAGAAATAGCCATTCTTCTGGTACCAGGCAAGGATGCCTACTCTTACCACTTCTATTAAACATGTACCAGAAGTACTATCAAAAGCATTTAGAAAAGACACATTCAACTTGGAAATGAAGAAGTAAAATTACCTCTATTTGCAGATGAAATGATTCTACCTGTAAAAAACCCTAATGACTCCACTGAAAAACCATTAACACTAACAAATAAGTTCAATAAAGTTGCAGGATATAAAATCAACATACAAAATCTGTGACATTTCTATACACGAATAACAACCTAGCCAAAAATGAAATCAAGAACACCATTCCATTTATAACATAAATAATACTTGGGAATAAATTTTACTAAGGAGGTGAAAGACCTGTATACCGAAGACAATAAAACATTAATGAAGGAAATTGAAGAAAATGCAAATAAATGAATATCCCATGCTCATGAATTAGAAGAATGTTGTTAAAATGTTCATACTACCTAAAGCAATGAGTAGATTCAATGCAGTCCTTATAAAAACCCCAATGACAGTATTTACAGAAATCAGAAAAAAATCATAAAATTTGTATGGAACCACAGAATATCCCAAATAGTCAAAGGAATTCTGAGAAAAAAAAAGACATCATACTACCTGATTTAAAGTTATATTACAAAGATATAGTAATCGAAAGAGTATAATGGCATAAAACCAGACACCTAGACCAGTGGATGAGAATAGCAATCTCGGAAATAAATCCAAACATATACGTTCAATTAATTTTTGACAAGGGCACCAAAAAGACACACTGGGGAAAGGATAGTCTCTTCAATAAATAGTGCTGGGAAAACTGGATATCCACATGCAAAATTATGAAATCGAACCCTTTTCTTATACCATAACTAAAATTCAAATCAAAATGAAAAAGAAACCTAAATGTAATACCTAAAACCATAAAACTCCTAAAAGAAAATAGAGGGGAAAAGCTGTTTGACATTAACCTTGACAATGACTTCTTAAATATCATACCTAAAAGCTAAGGTTATAAAAGTAAAATGTAAGAGACTATATCAAACGAAAAAGCTTCTGCACAGCAAAGCAAACAAACAAAATGAAAAGGAATCTAAAAAAGGGGGTGAGGGTGAGTGTCAAATATATAGAGGTAGAGAATAAAACAGTGGTTACCAGGGTCTAGGTAGGGACAGGAAATGGGGAGATTCGGGTCTAAGGATACCAAGTAGCCAAATATGCGGGGTTAAGCAGTTGAAAGATCTAGGGTACAATATGAGGACTGTTAAGGACAAAAAGTAGACAAATTTAACAGAGTTTAATTGAGCAAAGAAAGGTTTGAGAATCCAGCAGCCCTCAGAACCAGAAGATGTTGAGAGCAATTCCATGCTGGTCGTTGGTTGGAGAGGATTTATAGACAGAAAAATGACATACAGAAAAATGGATTAAGGTACAGAAACAGCTGCACCGGTTACAGCTTGATGTTTGCCTTACTTGAACACGGTTTGAACAGTTGGCCACCTTTGATTGGCCAGAAGTTGGTGAAACTCCTAGCTATATGTTGCTGTGAATATCAACTCCTGGGTTTGCTTGTACAGGGCCTCTTATCCCTCTGTTTCCATTCCTTGGTAACTACGTGGAAAGAGCTTTGCTTTTGAGACATTTTATCGTTTTGGCTTTCCTCTACCTCAGGAGTGCTACTCCTCATTTCATTTCTGTCACCCTTACTCTGATTGACTGGTAAATATTAGAGAACCTCACATAGCTCAATCCTGGATCTTTATCTATACATTCTTCCTAGGTAATCTTACCCTGCCCTGTGCCTTATTTAAATAGGAACTGTGCACTAATGGCCATCAGACGTTTATCTCTAGCCTCTGCCCCTCTCCTAAAGGCCAGACTGTTATAATTATCTTTTTAATATATCTACTCAAACACCTGATATCACAAACCTAAAATATGCCCCCAAAAGAACTACCAATTTCTAAACCACAAACAAAACCTACTTCTCTCTCATTCTCCCCATTTTACTTAACACTACCACCACTCATCATTTGTTCAAATTTGGATCTAGAAATTATCCTTGATTCTCTTTTTCTTCATCCCGCCTTATATGGTATCCATCAGCAAGTGCCTCCGACATATTTCAGATCTTTTACTTTGCTCCCTTTTCTGACTACCCCAAGGTGCCATCTCATAATAACCATGGCAACAGCCTCTGCCTGACCTGCCCATCCTCGTTCAGCAGAATCCACACTCCACACAATCAATCCAGTGCTATTTTTATTGTAAATCACATCACATCCGTTTTCTGCTCAAAGCCCTCCGATGTCTTCCCATTGCATTTAGTATAAAAGCCACACAACTGACCATGGGTCACAAACCCCTATACGATTGTGGTCCCATAGACCTCTCTGGTCTCCTCCTACTCTTTACTCCCCGTCTCTTGGTGACCTCCCCCATTATGTTATAAAAACACAAGCACTTTTTTTCTATGCTCTAAATATGCCAATACTATTTCACCTTGGAGTCTATTTACTCATTTTTTTTCCCTGCTGGAATTGTCTTCCAATTTCTCTTTCCTTGCCTGGCTTCTCATTTTCGTTAATACATCTGCTTGAGGGCCAGCTCTTTAGAGAATTTCACCTATTCTGAAATAACTACCTAGTAACTCAATGTCACATGCCCACTTTAATCCTTCACATAGTACTGGCCACCATCTGATATGTTTATGTTTGTCTCTTGGTCTCTCTGCTGATGGAGCTCACATGGTGATTTCACTACTGCATTTGCAGTTCCCAGAGCACTCTCAGTGTATTGTAAGTGCTAATAAATATTTCGTTCCCATGGAGGGTAGGAAGTAAGTACATGTCTCATCAGATAATACCTAAAAATCTATCTTCAGGAGTTTCTTCTTTGTAATCGAACTTTAGTTACCTATTAAAAGACATGCACTTCCAGAAATGCAATCTAATAAACTTTGATGAGCTATTATTTAGTAGGAATAATCTGTTGGTCCCTTTTCAATGAGTCAATCCACTATGTAACTTTTTTTTTTTTTGAGATAGAGAAAGGAACAGAACATTGGTAAGTTTGAAACATGGGAAGGAGATTCAACTCTGCCTGAAGAGAACAAAGTAGACTAGAAACAATGGTGTCTCTGCATTGCACCATTGATAACGGAGCATGTATTTCACCAGGATATGAATTAAAGGCTACCAAAGAAAACAAAAAAACAAACTGACTAAAAACACTAGGAGGATGCTGAAGTCAAACTTTCTCTATTTTGTGTCAGGATGGTGAAGAAGTCTACTGTTCAAAACAATAGAAAGACTGGTTTTATTTCTAGCTCCCCTATTGTAACATAATTTAGACCCCTTGATAAAAGGAAGGAATCAGACCAGAATATTGCTGGTGTCCCTTCACCTCCAAATTTATGAGCCTTGTCAGTAGATAATCCTGTCGGTTGAATTGGTGTTAAAATGCTAATATTGTCTGCCTTTACTCCAGATATCAACCAACTGCTTATAAAATTACAGATGTCAAATAATAGAAGAACTTTTGCAGAAAACAATATTGTATCAGTAATTCTACTCTTTATATTTCAGAAATTGAAAGACAGGAAGGTTCAGGAACATGAGAAATACATAGAATATTATTTGGTCCTGGATAATGGTGAGGTAATTATATGAGATAAATGTGCTGTCTTCCAAAACTCCCACCCACATATATTTATTTATTATGTGAGACATTAAATATCTGGATGAGATTTAAAGAATCATGAATATGAGCTATGGTTACATGTTCTTCTAAAACTATGAAATTTGACATTTATAATTAAGCTGATATGACTTCTTTTCAGAGCGATCAGGGCAATTGATATGATATGCATAAATTGTTGGCACTTATAACACTATTTTCTTATTGACTTAAGAGTACCCAACTTAGTTTCCAATTACATTCTTCTGTCATTTTGTCTTTTGTTAAGTTGTTAAATCATTTGTAAATTAAACTTTATTCTCATTAGGGAGTCAATACAAAAGCTTAATTGGTCACAATGAAAGCTTAGTGAATGGAATCCTCTGAAAAGGCAAATCTTTGGTAATAGTCACTGTTTATCTTCTACTGTAAGAATGCATTTTCATATACTGTGTTTTCAAAATTTAAAATGCACATGTGTATGAAAATATAAGTCAACCATTAGCTCAGGCCCTAAAGCTTTGGTCTTACTTACTGTGCTTAATTCATGTACTGTTCATGTATGTGTCTCTTAAATTAATAAGATATTCCTTCTGTTAATTCTGCACACCTTAGAAAACCATAGAATTTAAGTGAAAATACATTTGGAGTAATTCTTTAGAGCTTTATACTGAGCTAGTACTTCAGAAGAGAAAACATCATATTCACTCCCAAAGTGCTTTAATGTAGCTAGATGAATAGGAATTAATTTGATTCTAACTTTTAATTAAATCTAATAACTAATCTTTAATTAAAATCAATAATAAGTAATATAAGAGAAGATGCCTTTTTAACCTTCCAAGTATATTCATTTTTATCAATGCCCATATTCTTTCTTAATTTTTCTTTTAGTTTAAAAGGTACAATGAGAATCAAGATGAGATCAGAAAGAGGGTATTTGAGATGGCTAATTATGTCAACATGGTAAGACATATTTTATTACCTGCAGTTTTAAACAGTTTGCTGGGAGATGTCACTGGGTTTTTCAATGAACGCACATGAAGCATGGAAGCAAAGTCAAGACATTTGAGACCAATGTGGCTGACTGGCTCCCAAAGGATGACCACAACTTTTGCTACATAGGTGAACATGAATATTAATACCACAAACCAACACTTTTCTTATTTACCTGCCACAGTATTCTCAGGTATAAGAAGACATAAAAGCTACATGGGTGCATTGTATTTTCCAAAAATCCGCTAAGAAAATGCTGAAGACCAAATCCCAACAGAAAGCTGGTCCAGAGGGGAAAAAAATAATTTTAAACATACCAAGCACTGTCACAGTAGCATATTTCATAAAATCTCATGTAATACCCAGAACAACGCTAAATGTTACTAAAGCCTAATGCATAGCTAAGGAATCATATTCTCAGAAACAAAGAACTTACCCAAGATCACAAAGTGAGAAAAGAATAGCCATGGGGTTTGAATACAGATTTGTCAGATTTCCAAACCCATTTGAGTCATGCAACTATTGACTATGTTCTTTAGACATGATTGTGTTATCTAATTTCCAAAATATTTAAAAAATGGTTTTACAGTCTTTAAATACTACTTCTTAGTTTTCTGTTTGTTGGATATATAGTTGGCATACTTATTTTGAAATGAATGAGTCTCTTTGTGGTATCCTATAAATGCTCTAAAGATAATTTTTTGTTGTTGTACAACATAATGCTGTAATATACTTCTTTTGATATGCATATACATAGTGAAGTGATTACCACAGTCAATATATATGAAATAAAAAAATAATACATTTCCTTTTTATGCTGATGGGAATTATTTGTGGAGGGCTAAACATTGATAATGCAGGAAAGACAGAAGAATTATTGGAATAATCTTGATTGGGGGAGAAATAAGAGATTTAGTGCATGAGTGGAGAAACTGGCCTTAGACTCAGAGATTGTTCATTTATATAGCAGATGGGGAGGCGCAAGGTGTTTGGACAAGACTAGGTGAGGCGATAAGCCAATGGTGGGAGCTTGTGGACGTTCTCTTCAGATTGCTCTTATAGTCTCAGCGAATGTGGAAGCAAGGACAGTTGTGAAAGTCGGATTCAAAGGAAATGTTAGAATTACTAAGAAGAGGAGCATAAAAAATGTGTGCAGAAAACTGCGTGTGAATGGAATTTGGAAATACAGCAGTTTTGCTGGAACGCGTTAAGGACTGCTTGAGCTTAGTCACAGCTTTAAAGTGAGAGCAATCAGAACAATGTGTTTTCCCCTGTGTTCAAGGGCAGAAGGAAGAGAGATGTAGAGGCAAGTTGCTTTTAACCAGGATTGGAGTTTTGTCAGGTGAGTAAAATTAAGCAAGAAAGGAACAAGGAAGTTGAGGAAATAATCCAGTGAAGGATGATAACATGGCTGGATTTTAACTTCACTTTCAGTAACTGCATTCCTTAATGCTTTTCCTGTTTTCCAAACTACCTTTTTTTTAAAAGAAATATTTAAGTTTCTTAGCAGAAAGTTGCTGGTGAGAATGTCTGTCACTGTGCACTTTTAGAAACTATAGTAGTAATTTAAGCTTTTATCTTTAGAGTAAGCATATTGTTTCATAAGTTTAAGTCATTATTTCTAAAGTTTATCCTATATGCATTGTGGATTATTTGGTTCAATCCATGTTTAAGATTAGAGGACCATTGTCTCATTCTGAAAATACATAATATGGGTGGCTCATAAATGACAGCAATTTATTGCTCACAGTTCTGGGGGCTTGGAAGTCCAAATCAAGTTCCATCAAGATTTGGTTTCTGGTGAAGATTGTCTTCCTGGCTTGGAGACAGCTGCCTTCTCACTGTGCCTTTATATGGTAGAAAGAACAAAGCAATTCTCTGGGGATCTCTTTAAGGGCACTAATCTCATTCATGAGGGCTCCACTCTCGTGACCTAATCACCTCCCAAAGGCCCCACCTCCTAACACCACCACCTTGGGAGTTAGGATTTCAACACATGAATTTTGGGGGACACAAACATTCAAACTATAGCGACTACTTAGCTTATTGTAAATGCATCAATGTACAACATTTCATCATATCAAGTTACTTCTTTCATGCCTAAACCAGCACCAAGCCAACTTTGCTAATTCTGAAATATTCTCACTCTGAGAGCACTGAAAAACATATAAGCAATTGAAGCCATAGTAATGGGCCACTGACACAAAATTATAGTATTTCTTAAGAGCATAAACAGGAATATGTTGTCTTAACAGGGCCTTTTCTCCTCCCTACCACCCCCCACCCAAAAAAGAAGTTTACGGACCTAAACTATCTTAGTGTATTTATCTTTTGTTTTGAATGGGAGTTTTAGTGTCTACAAAATAGTCAATACATTCTGTTTCACAAATATGCTTGGAAATAAGGTTTTTATACTGCTGTGATGAATGTTTAAAAATACAAAATATATTGAAAATGTTTAAAATGATATCACCATTATAATTAATTGCTTTGCCATTTATTTTCTTTGGACAGCTTTATAAAAAGCTCAATACTCATGTGGCCTTAGTTGGTATGGAAATCTGGACTGACAAGGATAAGATAAAGATAACCCCAAATGCAAGCTTCACCTTGGAGAATTTTTCTAAATGGAGGGGGAGTGTTCTCTCAAGAAGAAAGCGTCATGATATTGCTCAGTTAATCACGTATGTACAGATTTTCTCCCATTGCACACTATGTGGTATTTAGTGGATGCTTTTCTGAGCCTTGGCAAAGTGAGGGGTGCACATAGAGGGGTAGACATTTATAGAGCACTTACTTGGATTATATGTCAAATATGCTCTTATTTTGGATCCAAGTATTTTTTTTAAAAAAAGAGAGGGTCAATAATTTGGCAATAATTTATAAAATGTTTGTTTTTATTGGGTATACAAGAAGAAAAGACAAGTTTATATAATGGAAAGAGAGTTTTTGATTCAGTGTTTAAAAAAACAACTGATTGGCTTTAGGCTCAAGTTAGAAGAAACATCTAAGATATTATTAGAAAAATTAAGTATTATATTCTAACTCCACATCTTCACTAATTTATTTCCCACTGAAATGACCTGTTAAGAACAACAGGGGAAATAAATCTGATGGCTGTAAATTATATGAGACTGGAGCATGTGCCTCAAAACATTCAAGAAAATGCTGCTGGGTAGATGGATAATATTTAGTTGAAATCAGATAGAAGGAAGCAGTAAGGATTGACTTGAAGTTACTGGAGAGGCTATTACCTAAGAAAACCATGAATTTCATGGAAATCAGTGAACTATGTCCTGCCAGAATTAGTTAATGTTTCTGTGCTGGTCATCTGTTAACTGCATAACAAATGAGCTTGAATTTCTGGGCTTGAAATAAGGCTTCTTCACTTACATAATTGGTGTGTGGGCTCATCTGGCTGGAACAGTGAGTCTGGTTGGTCATGTTTCTGTCTATATCCCCTTTCATGTGCCTAACTTGAGTTTCCTTCAATATGGCTATCTTAGAGTAGGTGGACTTCTTACTAGGTGTCTAGCTTTTCTCAGAATAAGCATTTCAAGAGGCATGAGATAATGCATCAAGGTTTTTTATGACCTAACTACAAAAGTCACAGGGTGTCACTACTGGTATATTATCTTAATCAAGGGGAAGTTGTAGGGCCAGTCCAGATTCAAGGGGAAGGCACTACTCAGGCTGAGAATACTGCAAGGCTGGTTCATTGAGGGGGTCACCTTTGGGAAGCAGCCGACACAATTTCTTAATTTGGAAAGGTGAGTTTTAGACTCGAGAGCCCATTCTTTGTGGAGGAGTTTAGTGGTTTTCTAAGGTCTCATAGCTGGTAAGTAATAAGGGAGCCAGACAAATTGCTGAATACTCCATCACTGTAAGTAATAACGTAGAAGCTTAAAAATAATAGACGAGATGATAAATGTATAGGTAAAAATAAATGACGATACAATGTCAAGAATAGATTCCTTGAAGAGATCAGAATAAAGATACGATGAAAGGAAATAGTTGTTCTTCCAGTTATGCAATTAATGTCTTACCATTTACCAAACAAGTTAACAAAAGAGACCTATACTTAGGTATAAGTAGGTTAAAAAAATTAGAGTCCGAATATACTGTTTACTTAAAAGATAAACCAAAATATATAACTCCAAAATGAACGAAATGTTATTTTTTGCAAATGAGCAAGTGGGGAGAACTGAAACCACAAAAATGTAGAATGAAGTATAAATAACTTTGTGATATAATTTTAAAAGAGAACAGGTATCATAAACCTTTTAAGTATGCATAATGTAAAATATATTTTCAAAATAAATATCTGAAATCAGATTAAATAGATAAAATCTGCAGGGAATGAAAAATTGGAACGTTTTCTAATTTTCTCATTTTATACAGCAGAATTAAAACTCTCTATTTTTAGTATTGTTTTATGGTAAAATACAGGTTCAATTTCCCACGTAAGTGCATCTACTAAGGAAATTAAAAACTTGATGCAATTTGGCAAATTTCTAGAGACAATTAAGGGCCAGGATCTTGTACAGATAGCAAAAAAAAAAAAAAAAAAAAAAAAAAAAACCAAAAAACAAAAACTAAAAGGAAAGAGTATGAAATTATTGAAGGTTTATAGAAAAATCAAAAGGAACCAAAAAAGCAAAATTAAAATTACCAAAGACAAAACATATTATCTATGGAAGTATAAGTGCAAATGATTCAAACCCCTCTCCAGTATAAAACTTATTTGAATAATATAAATGATCACTAATACAAATGCTTTCAAAATGGGCCCAATCCCTAAACCTACTGTAGCTAAAACAATGCTAATGTAAAACAAAAGTATGTGATATAAAAATATGAGTAAGATATAAATAAAAACAAAGCCTGTGTGGTACTGCTAATATCAAAACAAGATACATGTAGACAGATGTTTATTAAGACCAAAAATAGCCTTTCTTTTTCTTCACAAGGGATACATCTCACAATGAAAAGTGTTATAATCAGAAATGATAGAAAATATTCAACATAATTCTATCTAGGTGTTTGGATTTTAAGTAACACAAAAGCCATTCTATAGAAAAATGCCTTATGCAAATTCAAAAACTAAAGAAAAATATGACAGTGATGGTTCACAGTGAGTTTTTCTGCTAACCATTTAGGGTTTTGGATGTATTGTCTATAAAAATAGAGCTTAGCATTATAATTTGTTACATCAATTTATTCCTTTCTTGCAGAGCAACAGAACTTGCTGGAACGACTGTGGGTCTTGCATTTATGTCTACAATGTGTTCTCCTTATTCTGTTGGCGTTGTTCAGGTCTGTATGATGATAAACTGTTGGTTCTATGATTTACATTTATCAAATGCTTTTTAAAAAATCTATAGAGAAGATCATGATAGTTTTTCTCTGTAGTCTGTTGACATGGTAAATAACACTGATTGAATTTCAAATGTTGAACTAATTTTGCATTCCAGTGTAAACTCAACATATTGATAATGCATTATCTTTTTAATATATTGTTTAGCATGAAGTTTTTAGCTACAAACTCTCAATAAACTAGGTATTGAAGGAACATATCTCAAAATAATAGCTATTTATGATAAACTGACAGCCAATATCATACTTAATGGGCAAAAGCTAGAAGCATTCCTTTTGAAAGACAGCACAAGACAAGGATGCCCTTTCTCACCACTCCTATTTAACATAGTATTGGAAGTTCTGGCCAGGGCAATCAGGCAAGAGAAAGAAATAAAGCGTATTCAAATAGAAAGAGAGGAAGTCAAATTGTGTCTGTTTGCAGATGACATGATTGTATAATTAGAAAACCCCATCGTATCAGCCAAAAATATCCTTAAGCTGGTAAGCAACTCCAGCAGTCTCAGGATACACAGTCAATGTGCAAAAATCACAAGCATTCGTATACACCAATAACAGACAGAGAGCCAAATCATGAGTGAACTCCCATTCACAATTACTACAAACAGAATAAATACCTAGGAATACAATTTACAAGGGATATGAAGGACCTCTTCAAGGAGAACTACAAACCACTGCTCAAGGAAGTAAGAAAGGACACTAACAAATGGAAAAATATTCCATGCTCATGGATAGGAAGAATCAATATCATGGAAATGGCCATACTGCCCAACATAATTTATAGATTCAGTGCTATACCCATCATACAATTGACTTTCTTCACAGAATTGGAAAAAACTATTTTAAATTTCATATGGAACCAAAAAAGAGCCTGCATAGCAAAGACAATCCTAAGAAAAAAGAACAAAGCTGGAGGCATCACACTGCCTGACTTCAAACTATACTACAAGGCTACAGTAAGCAAAACAGCAGGGTACTGGGACCAAAACAGATATATAGACCAATGGAACAGAACAGAGGCCTCAGAAATAATACTACACATCTACAACCATCTGATCTTTGACAAACCTGACAAAAACAAGCAATGGGGAAAGGATTCTCTATTTAATAAATGGTGTTGGGAAAAATGTACAGATTTTTTAAGAGTATGCCTCTAACTCTTTCTTCCCATCTATTGTGCTATTATTATCATATGTTTAACTTTATATCACCATAAATACACAATACATTGTTATTAATTTTGTTTTAGATATCCATCTTTCATTGCAATTTAAAATTAAATTAGTTTTCATTTGTACAACAAACCCCCATGACACAGTTTACGTAAGTAACAATCCTGCACTTGTACCTGTGAACTTAAAATAGAAGTTAAAAAAGTTTTATATTTACCATCACTTCATTGCATTTCCAGCACTCTTTACTTCTCTATAAAAATCCTAATTTCTATCTAGTATATATTTTTTCCTTTCAAGGGAATTTTTTAAAACATTCCTTATAATACAGTAAATTCTTTCAGTTTTGTTTGTCTAAGAAAGGCGATCTTACTTTCATTTTGAATATATTTTCACAGACTTTTTGGATGTCCTGTAACCCCAACTTATTGGTGGATTCAAGGGAAGTTATAGTTGTCTACCTGCCTTGTCCTTGTTAGTGTAAGAATAATGTTCTTTCCAGCTTTCTACATCCTAGATAGAAATGGAATTAACATATTTTTTAGTTACTATCTTTTGAGTCTGGGTTTGTGATAGGCTTCATGGATGTACAGAAGAAGTAAAATACATATTTTCAAACTTGAAATAGCTTGCCATAAAATTGGAAGAGAAACTGGCCTACCTAAAGCAATAGTTCTAACATATAGTAGGTAGCTTAATGCTACTTTACGGAAGTAAAAACCATTCTAGGAATTCATAACAGATGATCGTTGATGAATATTAACATAGTCAGGAAAAGTTGCATTAAGATGGACCTCAGCCTGTAATCCCAGCACTTTCGAAGGCCAAGGCAGGTGGATCACCTGAGGTCAGGAGTTCAAGACCAGCCTGGCCAACATGGTTAAACCCTACCTCTACTGAAAATACAAAAAAATTAGTTGGACGTAGTGGCTGGTGCCTGTAATTCTAGCTACTGAGGCAAGAGAATCACTTGAACCCAGGAGGCGGAGGTTGCAGTGAGCAGAGATGGCACCATTACACTCCAGTTTGGGCAACAAGAGTGAGACACAGTCTCAAAAAAAAAAAATGGACCTCAAAGGGTAGGTAGGATTTAGAGTGGGGCAAGACAGAATGGAGGTCATTCGAGGGCAAAAATCATTCAAGTTAGGAAAACCATTATTTAAAGAAAGAAACCATAAACTGAAAGGAACTTCATATAGGCCTCTAAACACATTTTAATTTTTCTGGGGCTTTTTGGCTTGCATTTTTCCCCATTTGGAGCACTCCATATTTCTATATAGGAGGTTTTACCATGTTCATCTCAAAAGAATGAAAGAATATAGTGTGTCTAGGTATCAACTTCCCAACTTACACAGCTGTTCCTTGTTTGCCACTCTTGTACTGTTCTTCATCAAACTTTACATTTAGTTCTTTGAGATGAAGTAGATAAGAGAATCAGACTTCTGTAGGTGGATGTTACTGGCAGATTCTTATCTCCTCAATAGGACATTTTAACCTGCAACGATTCTCCTGCATTGTTTTATTGCTCCTGGATAATTTATAGCTGCAAGCTCTAATTTATCTGCAAGCTTGGAGTTGAGTCCAAGCACCTCAGACCAGAAACAGTCTGGTGATCAAGTTGGCTATAGGCTGGATTTCATGCAATGGGCAAGTTTTTAATTGACTGATGTCTGTCTACTCTTGGCAATTATGGAATTGAGAAAGATACAAGTAGAGCTAAAGTGCTAGGCTGATGAACAATTTTAGATCCCTGATGGCCAAATGCATCATAGACTTCTAAAAGGCAAGCCAAATGTAAGGGAGATAGATCACTTAAAAAAAAGTTCTGATTTCTTATTGTTGATGAAAATTTGCCATCTTTCTTGGAAAGAAAACTAGAACAATTTCCTTCATTATAGGAACCTACTCAAAGAGGAAAGGGCAGACCATATATGCTGTGATGGGCATTCAGTTCCATTTAGTACTCTCTCTCTCTTGCTCTGTGTGTGTGTGTGTGTGTGTTTGTGTGTGTGTGTGTGTGAGAGAGAGAGAGAGAGAGAGAGAGAGAGATGGCAAGTAGAGTGATGTATAATTTCATTCGAAAATCAGAGAATCTTTTTCTTCTTTCATACCTTTAGGACCACAGCGATAATCTTCTTAGAGTTGCAGGGACAATGGCACATGAAATGGGCCACAACTTTGGAATGTTTCATGACGACTATTCTTGCAAGTGTCCTTCTACAATATGTGTGATGGACAAAGCACTGAGGTGAGGCTCTCTGGGCCCTGGGGACATGCTATGTAGCCCTGGTTTTGATCCACTGTGGGCTGTACTACTTTAGGTCATCTTCAACAACGTGTTCGAGTTTTTGAGTCACTAAATGTGCATTTGTGCCAAGCCACCTCATCTATGGGTAATATTTTTTAATAACTAAGACATAATTTAAACATATTGTCTCTTTGCTGATGGGGCAATTCATCATTTTATCCTCATCTTATCTATACAAGACCTGGCTTCAGAAAAATCGTTAGCATTTATCAGGTTTTCCATGAATTCAGCATAGATGGTGGTCAGAAAAGAGTTCTAGAATAAAACTCTAATTAAAGAAGAAACTACTCATAGGACAAAGAAGACAGTCTATGAAAAGACATCACACATTCCCTCCCTGAATTAGGCAAAATTTTTAGGCAATCTTATCTTTAAAAATCTCACAATCTTTTTTAAATATTCATGTCCTCTTTTCTATACATACAGCTCACTCTATAAACTCTATTTCCTCTTTTCTATTTTCATTTCCTCCCTCAGCCCACTGAAGCTAGGGTTATTCTCCAAAGCCCCTGTACAAAACAGCATATGGCTGCATGCCAGTTACAGAGCTTATGTTAACTCTCCCCTCTATTACAGCAGTTTTAAACCTCATCTTTATCTGTAGGATGAAGAGATCCTATCAATAGGAATTCCTCTAAAGGAAAGTGAATTCTGAGACATGTAAATAAATATTTTGGTACCTTTAGGTCTTTACATCTCCCAGATGATCTAAGATTATCTGGAGAAGTCAGAGACATATTTGTTTTATTAAAAGTGGCCTGGATGCTACACATTGAAATATGACTATATTTTCTCATGAAGTTGGAGGTGGGTTAATTCGGGCATGCAAATGAGCTCACGATCTGGCAGTTGGTCAGTGGATTGGATTTTGTCTTTTGGGGCAGGCCGTGGGTGTAATTGTGCCTAATGTCAGATACTGCTTCGCACATGTTAAGCATGACTATATTCCAGTTTTTCTTTCCTTATCTTCACAGCTTCTATATACCCACAGACTTCAGTTCCTGCAGCCGTCTCAGCTATGACAAGTTTTTTGAAGATAAATTATCAAATTGCCTCTTTAATGCTCCATTGCCTACAGATATCATATCCACTCCAATTTGTGGGAACCAGTTGGTGGAAATGGGAGAGGACTGTGATTGTGGGACATCTGAGGTATGGCCAATCACTTTCTAAAACGATCTAGTTGGTTTTTCAGTTGCTAAGAAGATCAACTACAAAATAATGTGTGGCCCGCTATAACATTATAGGTTTTTTGGGTAATTTTGGGTACGCCCATTTGTAGGTATTTTCCAGGAAAATCTTTCTGACAAGGAACCCTGCACTTCTGAACAGACCTTGCTAATTTCTCCCCCAGGTTTCCAACCTCATTCCTTTTTTTAAGGACTATTTACTAACTTGGGCCTTGTGTCCTCGTCCCTCCCTTTCTAAGTGAAATACTTGAAGCTCCTTACGTGACTATGACTTACCCAGTATTACTTTAGACAGAGCACTATGAGTGCCCAGAGTACAAATAGCTTGCTGGTTCAAGGTCACTGGGCTGGCAAATGGAGGAGCCAAGAACTGGATTCAAATGTATCTGTTTCCAGCTCTGAAACGCAAGACCACCCAGCACAGGGATCTGGTTCATCCCTTACTGCTTTGGGACTCGGGAGTTATTACCATCAGAAGTTCTGTCCTGACCCTCTTCACAGGGCAGCTGGGATTTTGAATGGGACCTCTGCTTCCATGTTATTGATGCTTAATATAAATAATGCATCAAGCCTTCAGAGTACTGGCTTTCAGTAACTTTGAAATATGATTATATATTTGATTATGTATTTATTTGCTCTATGAGAAAAAGTAGTCTGTCCTGGTTGATGATTATATTTGAACTAAGGGCTAGAGTTTTAACCCTAAAATATTGTAACCCTGAAACTCTCAGTCTTCTATGGGAATCTAGACAGCTGCAGGGGAACACTTTTGAGGTAAGAGTTTCTCCAATACCTTTTGCAGGCAGGATTCTGACACAAAGCAGAGAGACTAAGACAAAGTATTTGCTTCAAGCACAGTTGAATTAAATATTAAAGTTAGATAAAGAGCTGTATCTTTAGCTTTTCAGTGGATATCCTAGAAATTGGATTTACTGCTAGATATGTACATAACTGATGAGTTGAAGGAATTATATTCTATAATTAGACAAATCTTATTTCAAGAACTGTGTTTTTTCTTCATATTTTACCAAAAAGAATAGATCTTTCCTTAATATTATTGGAGACTGAGGAAACTAGTTAATAGAAAAATGACGTAAGTGGAATTCAGATAAACAACAAACCATCAGTTGCTCCAAAATTTCAGGTTTTCTAATTTTTTTTATATTTTTTGAAAAAGTCCTATTTAGACTCCACGAAAGTAACATATGCCTGATGAATATAGTATGTTACAAATTGTGCTGAACTGGGACCAAAAAGTAATGTTGCATTTACATTTGTTTCTCATATTTCTTAGGAATGTACCAATATTTGCTGTGATGCTAAGACATGTAAAATCAAAGCAACTTTTCAATGTGCATTAGGAGAATGTTGTGAAAAATGCCAAGTAAGATTATTTTATTCTATTTTAATAATTATGATTACATTTTTATACATTAACATCTCAGTGATTATGTTAACTGAAATAAGCAATGCAATATTTTTCTTTATATAAAATGATATATTTACTATTTATGAAGCACTTACTCAGTGTTCTACACACATGGCCTATTGAATCTTCCAGTGATCCTTCACAGTAGATATTATTTCATTTTGTTTTTGAGAAAAAAATGCAGAGTAGAAAATGAACAAAATAATATGGCCACTATTTGCTACAGCCTGGATACACCTGAGAACATTATGCCAACTGAAATAAGCCAGCATAGAAAGACAAACACTGCATACTGATCTCACTTGTATGTGGAATCCAAAAACGTTGAATACACGCAAACAGAGTAGAATGGTGTTTACCAAGGGCAAGGAGGCTCGGAAAATGGGGAGATGATGGTCAAAAGGGACAAGTTACAGTTATGTAGCATGAGTAAGGTTAAAGATCTAATGTACAACATGACTATAGGTACAGGTACAATGTGACCGTATTGTATGTTAATAATTTGCTAAGAGAGTAGATTTTAAGTGTTCTCACCACACACACACCCACACCAACACCTATGTAAGAGACCGATACATCAATTTGTTTGACTGTAGTAATCATTTCTTTCTAAAATTGTTTTATTTTTAATTTTTGTGGGCACATAGGTGTACATATGTAGTAAGCATTTCACTGTATATATGCATATTAAATCATGTGCACCTTAAATACAGGCAACAAAAAAATGTAAAAATAAACATGGCCACTGTTGAGTAGGATAACCCCAAGTGTGATCATCTCCAAAGCCAAAGCTGGTTACTCCTACCTGCTGCTGTTTCTCATGCTCCATGGCTTTCTCAGGTCGAATCTCACAAAACTGATTGTATCTCCCTTTAACAATGTGTGTGGTGGAAGAGGTTTTATTCTGAGTAGTGTGGGGGTATCCCCATCTTCAATCTTTGAAGCCACTTCAGGGTGAAATTCTTCTAAATATGCCATTTCATGTTCTCTGTGGTGCTTTTCTGAATTGTCCTTCAAGTTTAGTATTTAACTTTCTGTTGTTGCATATCGTTCTATATTGTGAGGGTTTGTTTCCATACTCAGATTGACTCCTAAGGCCAGAAGACAGATTCACTTTCACCTAGCACAGAATTTCATACATTTTAAATGATCTGTAACTGCAGCATGAATGTGCACATGGCATACCAGGTTTTATAGGGAATGTTTGGTGTTATTTTGTTTTTAATGTCAGAGAGAGAGGAAAGAAAGAAGTCCAAAAGGAAGTAAATTTGAGAACTTAAGCAGTACTCAAAGAGTGTTTAGTAAATGCTATTTGTTAGAGATTATGGTAGGTAAAAAAGTATCCAGTTTCTTACTATTTAGAGCAATGATATACATATATGAAACATATGAAAATATAATGTGTGATTCAATGGCCTTGTAGATAGCATAATGATATATTAAGCTTTTTACGTACAGTCTCACTTGATTTTCACAATGGCCTTGTAAAGTAGATGTTGGATGGGGACAGGGATTTTCAGAGAGATTAAATCCATTTTCTAAAGTTCAGCACTCAGACACATGCAAAGCCGAGATTCAAATTCCTGTCATCTAAATATGAATTCGAGGCTCTTCCCAAGCACATGAAGAAAGCAGGAGCAGCAATTTGCATTAAAGGTGTCAGAGGAGACTTGGTGGGAAAATGGGCTTTCAACTGGACTTGAAAAAAGATTTTAGACAGAAGAGATTTAGACATAAAAGAATTTCCAAATGAGGGCACAGAAACAGCAAAGACATAAGAGAAGATACAAGCATGGTTTGTCTGGTATGTGGTAAGGAATTCTCTGACTGGAGCTTTGGGTTGAATTTGTAGGATCTCACATGCTTGCATGGAAATTTGGATTTGATCCCGTCACTGGTATTAAGATATTTAAAGTTATTTGACGCATTGAAAACATACCTGCTCCTGTTAGGAAGGAAAACAAACAAACAAACATACTTTCTCAGTTTTGCAGGAATGGCAGAATTTGTTTCACTAAAGTTTCTCTGAGCAAATAAGAGTAAGATTTGCAGTAATTGATTACAACTGAGTTAGTATATCAAGTGAATATTTGCTTATTTCTCCCTCATGATAAGTCATTCTATGGAAGAAGTGAGTTGAAAGGAAATAGCTGAACCTACAATAAAAGGGATTAAGGATTAGGAAACTCGAGGCCTGGGAAAGTCCGAGTCTGCTGATCTGGTGCTTGTAAGCTTATCTCCTTGAATACCGAAGATCCAATTCACCAGTAAATCTCTGAAGTTGCAGATTTAAATCTCCTTGGAGTTCCTGACAGAGATGCATCCAACAAAAGGAGAAATAACTCCCTTCTTTTTATCTAAGTTGTTGCCTGTTTTTTTTTTTTCGTCCTGTACTTTTCTACATTATGTTTCTTTGGTGTTTTTGATACAAATTCAGAAATATTGCTTAAAAACTTAGGGCATTAACCAATATTAATAGAAGTGATATAACAGATCATGGCTTTAATTTATGACAATGTAAGCTTCAGTGAAATGACACCTCCAACTACTATGCCCAAAAAGTCCAAATGGAAAATATTTGTGTTAATTTGAGGTATTAGGGTAAAGCAGGTAGGGAGAATAAAAAGCCTTCTATTTTTGTTTTTCTACAGTTTAAAAAGGCTGGGATGGTGTGCAGACCAGCAAAAGATGAGTGCGACCTGCCTGAAATGTGTAATGGTAAATCTGGTAATTGTCCTGATGATAGATTCCAAGTCAATGGCTTCCCTTGCCATCACGGGAAGGGCCACTGCTTGATGGGGACATGCCCCACACTGCAGGAGCAGTGCACAGAGCTGTGGGGACCAGGTAGGAGGACAAATCCTTTCCCCTGTGCATGTGCGAAGGAAAATCATTTCAGATGACAGTGTTTAACCATGGTCAAAGGACCATTCTGTCCTATCCTTCTTAGAAGCTTTGAACTCAAAATCATGGAAAGGTTTTAAGATTTGAGGTTGGTTTTAGGGTTGCTAGATTTAGCAAGTAAAAATAAGGATGGCCCCGTTAAATTTTAACTTAAAATTAACAAGTTTTTTGTTAATTTTTTGTTTTTTGTCTCAGCATCAGTATATCCCATGCAATATTTGAGGTGTGCTCATACTAAAATTATTTGTGTATCTGAAATTCAAATTAAACTGGGTGTCTTTTTCTTTTCATCTGGCAACCCTACTAAGATCATAAACCCTTGGAAATCTGTGTGTGTGCGGGTGTGTGTGTGTGTGTGTGTGCAGGGGTGGCAGAAGTACTGTGGGATGGGACAGAAATAAGAAAAGATGGAAAAAAGAAAAGAACTCTGGAAATGCAGAAAGCCAATAAAGAAAAGTGAAAGTTCTTAAATGGTCGCTTTGTCCATAATGCCAAAATTTTAGAGACCATATTCTCTAATTTCACCAAGAAAACTTGAAAAATAAAAGTTTAAAGAGATATCCGAAAATTTAAACAGCAATTTGTATAGTATTAAATAACTTTGGCCAGGTGCGGTGGCTCACACCTGTAATCCCAGCACTTTGGGAGGCTGAGGCGGGCGGATCACGAGGTCAGGAGATCAAGACCATCCTGGCTAACACGGTGAAACCCCGTCTCTACTAAAAATACAAAAAATTAGCCGGGCGTGCTAGTGGGCGCCTGTCCCAGCTACTCGGGAGGCTGAGGCAGGAGAAGGGCCTGAACCCAGGAGGCGGAGCTTGCCGTCAGCAGAGATCGTGCCACTGCACTCCAGCCTGGGTGACAAAGCCAGACTCCGTCTCCAAAAAAAAAAAAAAAAAAAGAAAAAAAAAGAAAAATAACTTTATTAGAAAGTCAATTTTAGATCATAAGTGATCTAGCTTATATACCTAAAATCTAAAAAAGTTGAACGCATAGAAGCAGAAAGTACAATGCTGGTTTCCAGGGTGTGACAGGGAGGAGGTGGGGAGATGTTGGTCAGAGGATACAAAATTTAAGTTGAAAAAAAAAGGCAAGTTTTTAAAAACCAGTTATTTGGACTTTCTGGATATGATGTGTATGATGTACATGTATTTAATTGCCATACTCCCTTCCTAATAGTTTCAGACTCCTACTTAAATGACTGAAACAATATTTATTAAAATAGAGAAAATCTACATAGTCCTATTATTTGAAAGGGGTCATTGCGTGCCAGAAACTTTTCATAATTCCTGAAAACAGAGCTAAAACAAGATTGAGAAAATCAACAAAAATTCCTAACTTGCAATGCACTGTGAAAACAAGAAACCTGGGAAACAAATAGACAAGACCCTAGAAAAACCTCCCTGTAAACTTCTCTGTCTTTGGCTACAGCGGGTTGAGACACAATTTGAGGAGCAAAGCTCAATTCCCTTAGTATGTCAGCAAGCTCACTAGTATCCTGGAACCAGGCCTCAGCAATCTTGCCTCCACTTCGTGGATGCGCCAGGTTAAAGGTGGAAACAAAATTGATTGTTGGTTAAGAAGCTCATGTTTCCTTGGCTAACTTCAGTATACGGCAAAAACCAGGAGAAAGAAAATCTTTAGCACAGAGGTGAAGTTCTGAGCATCACCTTTATTATCTTGTAGTAAATATTAACTGCAAACAATATTAACTGTTACCCTCCTCCCTCCTTTGTCCGACTTTATGATTAGTCTCCTCGGCAAATCTGTAAACTTCCTGGAACAGGGACATTGTCTACATTGTTCACAGTTGTATTCCCAGTGCCTCCCAGCACAGTGTCTGGCTTTAGTAAAAAGCTCAAAATTGTCTATTGAATTAACATTGAACATATTTATCTGATCAGGAAATGGAGTAGACCTCTTAAGTCATACATTTAAATACAGCCATTATAAAAGGCCAGAGAAAACAATTTGCCTAAACAAAATTCCAAATTTTATAATTCACAGAGGATCACGTATTTATTTTAAATTAATCTGGGAAGTTTGAAAAGTCTTGCAACTTTGTAAGTAATTTAAAAATCATTCTTTTTGGCATCAAATCATTCCCACAAATCAATTCTAATTCCAAGTATTGAAAATGTGGCTAAGGCATAAGCAGGCAATTTGTCATAAAGAAGAAATACAAATGTCCTGTAAAATTAAAATCATTTTAACTCATTAGCAATATACAAAACCTGAATGAAAACAAGTTAATCTTCTACATTTGCTAATTGGCAAAAGTTTGCTACAGATGTTAATGTTCAGTGTCACAGAAAACATAACCAAACAACTCCCTTCGTACACTGCTGGTAAATACACAAGTTAGCATCATCTTTACGGACAGAAAAATGCATACACAAAATCTAAAAATAATTGTTTTTTACTCCTTCTCCTAGCAATTGTACTCAAATAATTATGAGGATTTTTCAACCAGCATTTTTTAATGATAGTGGATAACTGAAAAACATCTCAAAATCCAAAATATATGGATTAGTTAAATAAAGTGCATTAATTCAATACAATTTTTGCAGCTGTGATGCTTTAGAAAATTTAATGCCTGGGGAAAGGACAGCTATATTGTTAATTGGCAAGAAGTTATAAAACAGCATGATGCCAGATATATGAATGATACCTTCTGCAATATCAGCAGCAATAACTCTGAAGTCTCAGATTAGGAATATCATGCTTCTCCCTGATTATTCATGACTAATGATTCTTTTCTTCCATGTAGATTAGGAATATCATGCTTTTCCCTGATTATTCATGACTAATGATTCTTTTCTTCCATGTAGATATTGTATTATAATAAAACATGAATACATTTTACTAAGATACAAATAATAAAAAGTAACAAAACTCATTTTATCTTACACATTGAAACATGAAATTCGTTTAAAAGTATTTCTTAAAAACAATGCCGTATCTTCATAGGTGTTTATTTTAACTTAGCTTGCTGTTTGTCAAAGGCTAGACTCAAAATTTCCAAACGTTTAAGACAGAATTACTTGTTCTTGAAGAGAGGGTACCTCAGCACAGAGAAGGAACATAGGTCTTTCTCTGTGACTTGATAGGATTCTGTTTCCTTATTAATAAATTGAGAATGGCAATAAGAATGGCTAGTATTTGTCAACCATGTACTGCTGACCAGGCACTGTTCTCAGTGGCTCACCTATATTAAGTAATTTAATCTTCAAAACAGCTCTTTGAGGTAGGTACTGTCATATATAATGTGTATATATATACTTTTATATATGTGTAAATATTAAATATATATGTTCACATAAATATAAATTATATATCCTTATTTTACAGATGAGAAAACTGAGGGGTTAAGACACTTGCCCATGTTCACACAGTTACTCAGTCTTGCTTGAAGCCTGGGCTCTTAACAATGTGTTTTGTCTGATGGAGATCTGAGGAAGATTACCTGAGACATGAAATATGTGATGCCTATTTTTGTACCTAGCACATAGTAGGAGTTTGTTACAGAGTAACAGATTATTTAAAAGATTATTTGTAATTCCAGCCAGCTCATTTGATACCAAATTACTACAGCCTATGTTTCTAGGAGTGGTCAATGGAATTATGCTAAAATAGTATTTTTCTTGCTTGTTTTATATTTTATAAATCGCTTTCCAGCACTGAATCTTTAAAATCTTTTATTTTCAAGTATCTCTTGAATCTCAAAAATCTATTTTCTTTTCCCTGCTGACTGATCCTGGTCCCAGGAACTGAGGTTGCAGATAAGTCATGTTACAACAGGAATGAAGGTGGGTCAAAGTACGGGTACTGTCGCAGAGTGGATGACACACTCATTCCCTGCAAAGCAAAGTAAGTGGCCTTGTCTGAACCTTCCTGCTTCACAGACTAGAGCAATGGTACACTTCCAGCTACACATTCTGATTTATTCCAGTTAAAGGGAAAGTGCATTTGGTCATCAATCATTTGACAAACATTTATTGAGTAACTACTATGTGCCATGATGTGGGCTAGGTACCGAGTCTAAAACAACAAATAAGAAATGGCTTCTTTCTTCAAGTATCTCATGGTGGGTGCTTCAGATGACACAAAGCACAGTCATTGTTGGGTAGAATGAATGGTTGTGATGGAACATGCCACAAAGAATGGGTCTGGTTAGAAATTTGTCCAGGGATTTCCCAGTATAAATCAGATGCTTTCTCAATCTCATGTTTTTCCTTGTAAGATTCAGAGTAGAAATATTTATCTACCCAGAGGAATAACAGATGCAGTGCTTGAACAGTTTTTTAAACTTTCAGTAGAATTACATAAAGAAAAAATACAATATGAAAATATTGACAATTCATCTGAAGAGTTTGTTAGTTTTAGTACTGATATCCGGGAAAACACTATAGAACAGCACACCAGAAGAACTTGGGATTTTTCTATGGTTTAATTCTGCAATTTTGAGATGAGTTTTAAAATCCAATTATAGATTAAACTCTTTGTACCTGCTCTAAATTTTACACATACCAAATAATATATAACAAGAGGTTGCACAAGATCAACATTTCCCAAAGTTTGTCTATTGGACACGAATTTCTCTGAATGACAGGTATTACCAAACTATACTTTGGATATAGGGTTATCTCTTGGGAGAATCTGTGCCTAAAGAACAATCATTTTCGGTGGTCTTGTGGTCTCTTCTTTATAGGAAACCAGGGCAGATTCAAAAGAGGAAATTATGTAAAAGGCAGTATGTGAGGGCCAGAGGAAGGGCAATTGTAGGTGGTGAATGGGAAGAGAGTGGGTCTCGCCATCTTTCCTTTGCAGTCTGTGCACACAACAGTGTCCCATATAACTCTTTGCATGAGCATTAGTTTCTGTGCTCTAGTGGCTCAAGCAGCTCCTTCACCCCACAAACTACCCTCCTAGTCACTTCTCAGTAGTCATTGGCTATAGTGAAGAGTTAGCCTGAAATTCCCTGTGCCCTAAACCATCCTTTATCGCTTTACCTAAGTGATTCAAGAAAAACACACTCTCATATTTTGAGAGAATATATGCCTTTCTCCACTCCTCAAACATATTTTCTACAGCCAAGAGAGATCAAAAAATCTGATGCCATCACTTTCTGGATACTTTTTTCACAGCCCTCTTCCGAATTCTACATAAAGCAATTGACTTCCATTTTATTGTCTTTTAGTCCTGTTGGCAGTAAATGAATGGCTTGAGTGAGTGTTGAGCAGTTTAATCTGCACCTTCAGGGAGACAGTTCTTTTAGTAACTCCACCTGATGCCTTGCAGTGTCAAGGGAGGCTCAGCTTTGTTCTGACAGCATTATAGTGGAGACTTGGGCTTTCTTTTGGTGGAATTATTCTGCAGCCAGTTGTACAAATAAATGAGTAACCTATCTGAAACAAGCTAGAAATTGATGTCTCAGATGCCTCCATGATGTTAGGAATCCATGTTTTATCCTCTAGCTCCATCATCCACATGACTTTCATTTCCATGTGTTTCTCTAGGCCTATGATAGCTTCTCTAGCTATCATACTCCAATCAGCAAAAAATGAGAAAATGTTGAGAAATAGAAGATAATTCCTCATTTAAGGCCACCTTCTAGAATTTGTGCTTAAGATTCTGTTTTCTTCTCATGGGCCAGCACTTCGGCAACTGGCAAAAATTAGGTGTACAGGGATCTAGGTAATACTGTTTATTTGAGCAATAATATATTGTGCTAACGTTCAGGCATCCTATTACTGAGAAATAAGGGAAAATGAGTGTAAAGTACAACTAAGAGTCTCGGCTACAGGGAAAAATACCATCAGTTAAATATCCATAGTCCTAGAGCATTTATGTAAAACTGCAATTTGAATCCTGCAATACATTTTGGCTTTTTCCTCAGTGATACCATGTGTGGGAAGTTGTTCTGTCAAGGTGGGTCGGATAATTTGCCCTGGAAAGGACGGATAGTGACTTTCCTGACATGTAAAACATTTGATCCTGAAGACACAAGTCAAGAAATAGGCATGGTGGCCAATGGAACTAAGTGTGGCGATAACAAGGTAAGTTGAAATTGTGGCTTTCACTCAAAATAGTGTTTTTTACTTTGGTGTGCTTTGTTGTTTTGCCCCTCGGTTATTCACTATGTGCCTTGTTTCCCGATTTTGGGGTTCGCCATGCCTTAATAGAACCCACAGAGTTTGAATTTGGAACACAGAAATGAAAATGGCGCAGAACCTAGTAAATAGCAGGAATAAGCACTGACATTAACATTCTCAAACACTGTGGTGAAATTTGGAAATAATTGACTCTCATAGTCATTATTTCAAGAAGAGTATCATATCGTCATGCAGATAACACACAGTAGCATCCGTTTAACTTTCATAGACGAAGTCTGAAAACTCACTGAAAGTGCCAGTGTATGTGATACTGGGCTTCATTTAACAGATCTGTATATCATTAATAATATAATGAACTTAAATACGAGTACTGTTTAGCCAGGGCCAATCAATTCACGAACTTTGACCATGAGGTTTGTCTCTCTTAAGAGATTAGAATTACCCTCTTTATATATTCACTAAGATATCCACATGACCAAAGAGTTCCCCTGATTTTTCACTGTGGTAAAGCCAATCCTCAGAATATTATCCTATTTACTTAAACTGATTTGGCTATTTAAATATTAATTTATCCAATGATGAGTCCAAAATTATCTAAGTGGTTCAGTGTGGGTATTGCTTATACGTGGTCTCTGAACCCCTGGAGCTGAAAATAAAAATTTAGCAATGTTTATAAATCTGCTGATTTGACATTAAAATATTAGGTCTTGCCTATAAGAAGTACCCACAGTATTTAAACTTATTCTTTTCCCCCATTTTTCCTGAAACATATGCTAGCATCAAGGGCAAGGAATTTTATATAAAATATAATATTTAACTGCGTTTTCCAGGTTTTACTAATTTCCTTGTATTTTCTAGTGCTGAAGCCTTTAAAGACATTGAGACATTATCACATGACCTGGCATGGATGTTGCAGTGCTTGGGCCTTAAGGGAGGGAAGTACTGGGACTAGGGCAGAATTGAGATGTTTCTGGGTCCCCTGGCATTAAGATCATCTCATTATTGCTTATCCCTTAACTTCTTGCATAGTCATTGCTTCTGGGATATACAGTTGTTTGGATTTTTAAAAATACATAAATTCTTAGATAGACTTTATCAACCTTTTTGGGTTGGTTTAACTAAGAGGATAATGTAAGCAACAGAGCCCGTCTCTGTTTCCCTTCTTCTACATCAGCCTCCTGGCAGAGCCACCTTAAACAACATCTGCTAGCCTCTTCACACAGACCTCAACTTTCTCATCTACGTTCAGAGAAGATGAAGCTTCATGTTTTCTACATCACTTTCAGGTTTGCATTAATGCAGAATGTGTGGATATTGAGAAAGCCTACAAATCAACCAATTGCTCATCTAAGTGCAAAGGACATGCTGTAAGTTCTGAAAATATGTTTCCCTAAGCTCTCTGAATCTTATGACATTCTAGGTCAGTCATAAGAAAGCTAAAGGAATATTTTCAGCTTTAAATGATGATAATTACTAAGTTTATCCAAGCCTTCAGTAGCATGGTTCAAGGAGAAATTTCTTCTGGGAATCATTCATGAAATGCCTCTCATTCACTCATACTTTTTGTAGATAGATGGAAGCCTGGAGACTGGGGTTATTCCTTTTTCTGCATGAACTTTATTATGGATGAGTAGGGCCTTGAGTTTCTGGTCAGCCTAGCGGGGACAGTAACAGGATCATTGCTCCCCTAGGTGTGTGACCATGAGCTCCAGTGTCAATGTGAGGAAGGATGGATCCCTCCCGACTGCGATGACTCCTCAGTGGTCTTCCGTAGGTAACATTACACATCTAACCTGAGAAAATTGCTCTCCTCTTCCAAGCCTTTATTTTGTATTATATGAGATTTCACTGCTTCTTTTCTCTGTTCTTGAAATTTCTGTTCTGTTGATGTTGAATCCACAATATTTATCCCCCAAATCTCCTTAATACCTTTTAATTATATTTTCCGTGTCTTCATTTTCACTGCACATGCAAAAAAATTTCCTCAACCTTTATATTTGTAATCTTATTTTAATTTCACAAATTTTCTTACTTTAGGACTCTTCCATTTTCATAGCAGCCTCAAGTTAATGGAAAAATGTAATATCCTCAAAACTCTCTAAGAATATGACCTATTATTTTGTATGTTCAGTTCTATTCTTTGAATTATCTGTTTCTTTTGAGTTGGTTTGTTCTGTTGTCACCACGTCACTTGTATTCTGTTGTACTAGTTTTCTTCAGGATATGTGATCCTTAGTTCAATGTGGAATTGGTAGAGCTGGATTAGTTCACACGGGATGTCTCTGCATTTGTGTGTGCTGTTGTACCTACTGATATTTCTCTTGATGGGGGAATCTGGCTGGGAGCTCTATGGGCAGGTAGGCAGGTCTGCCTATAGGTCTTCAGGGTGGGAAGGAGCCAGAGTGGGGACCCACCTCCAGTTGTTACGAGGAACATTTTACCCTGAGGAGGGAGCTCATCACCACATTTTCTCCTGAGAGAGCTGCTTTTTCTCATCATCATCTCATTGACGCTCCCCTCTCTGTCTGATATAGTGTAGGTATCTAGAGGAAGCCTCTGTCCTCCTGTTCATGTTCCTGCATCCTCTGTTTGCAGAAACGGAGAAATTCTTAGGATTTTGATCTCAGGTGATGAGCCAATCTTGTTCTATATACACAGGAGATGAAGTAGACCTCAGTGAGATATCTGCCCCAAATTCAGATTGTTAGACTTTTCAAGAGAGAACATTTATTTCTGATGTTTAGTCTATATTTATTGTTTCCATCCACATAAATCCCTTAACTTCCTATCTTTCTGAAGATTTTTAAAATTATTTTTTCTAGTGCCCTATGATTTTATTATATACACATGTATTTGTCATGTATTTTGAAAGGGGCATGAACATAATCAACTGTTTTAATTAGAAAACTCTTTAATGGTTTCAATGCTCACTAAAAATCCTTTTAAACTATGACTTTCTTGACTGCTTTATTTTGACATATCTATTGATTTGCTAAGTCACCTCTATGACTAATTTCTTCCTGGTGTAACAATGCATCCACATAAAACTTTCTAAGTTGTACTTATGAGAATGTATTTCTGTTGCCAAATATTTTTAATATTTCAATTAATATTCTATATCATAGCATGCATAGCAGGTTTGATTGAATTTGATTTTTTAAATCATAATTTTGCATTCATAACTCTGTTAAAGTAGATGTTTATATTTAATGTCAAAAAAAAAAAAAACAAGGCCAGACTGATTTCTGTTGATGTTAAATAACATCCCTTTTAAAAGTCATTAGGTTTGTTTTGCTTAAATGCTTTTAGAATTAATTACTTAATTACTAATTAATCAAAATGAATCACTATTTTATTCCTGGGTGATGTTCTGTTTCCATTAAGATGTTACCTAGTGAGTTTCTTTAAACTGAGGATTTGCTTTTTTCTTCCATTGAAGAAATGTTTCTGTTGTTCTAGGTTTTAAAATTTATTTTCTTTCAGTTTTCTGGTTTCTGATTTAGAAATGTAAATTATTTATGCAAAATATCTCCACTGTGTGATCTCCATATTATATTCCATATTGGGTCATTTTTCTTGTTAATTCTGGGGAAGTTTTTCAAGATTATTCTCTGTATCATAATATACATTTTTTAGCAATGTTAATTCTCTTATTACTTATAATGACATTTAAAATTATTCAGTGGCATTTTTATGTGTCTTTGAAATATTTTTTTATCCCAGTTGGTTGTTTTCTCCTGTTTCACATCTGTCTAGCTTTTTTACAGTCTATATTTTAATTGCATTGAGAGTACCCTAAATTTGATTCTTTATACTCCTTTTCTGAGAGTATACATTTTATGTATACTTCTACTTCTATGTGTTATTTTATACCTAATCTTTTGATTCAACCGATGCTTTTTCTTTAGTTATCATCCAATAAGGTTGAATTAATTCTGATAAGCACTGTTAAAAGTATTTCTCAAAATTTTTAACTTGGAGGACTAGCGATACAACTTTACGGTATATTACATGAAATTTGTATTTTAGCAGGATAAGGAGGTAGCTGGAGAAGTTCAAAATACATACAGTGGAAGCTTTTCTCAACTTATTCTGTTTGTTGAAACCACTACATCAGAATTCAACTTTATCCCCCAAGCCTTGTTTTTTTTAGGGCATTGTGTTAGTGGGTTCAGTGCCCTTTCAGTGCTATTTCTTATCTAACCATCAAGGAAAGCCTCAGACAGACTGAGGAACATTTCCTAGTTCAGAAGTGTCCTTGCACCAAGAGGACAGACCCTAGAGGATGACAATTTTTACTATAGCTATGGTCCTAAATCTAAACTTGAATGGGAAAAAATTACATTTTTATTTTCATTAAATTCTAAAGTTAGTTTAGAATTTTCTACAATTATGGGAATGTATGGCTTATAAACCATAATAGTATTAGCAATATTCCATGACTTTGTCACCAATAGAAATTACAAAGACTTTAATATCTCATTGCAGTTGTTGAATGTATCTCCAAATACCCCATGAGTATCATTTGTTTGAAATTTTGGTAATTACTGACCTACTGTTAGAACTGATTATTTCAGAGGTTAATAAACACATATTTTACTATATCATAAATTGTTTTATAATATTTTCACAACTGTATCCCAACATCAATAGCTTCCTTTAAATCTTATGCCTTTTATGAATGAATTTAGAAACACTCAGAAAAGGGGTTTATAGGCTTTATCAGATTGCCAAAATGATTTGCAGCATGACAAAGTTTAAGAGCACTGCCCTACGACATGGCCATACACAGCCATTGGCTTTCAAGATTATTGTTAACACCATCTTTTTGTGTGTAACATAATAGAGCAGACATGTAAATATAAAGGCAAACCTGATGATTACAAAATGAACGCTCATGTAATATAATAAGGGCCAAGAAATAGACCCAGACATCTGCTTTCCTGCCTCTTTTCAGTCTGATCTCCCCTCTTTCTCTAAGGGTTGACCATTAATCTTTCTTTTGTCATAATCATTTTGTTAGTTTTCTTTGTAGTTTTGCTTCCTAAATACACATCCTTAAACAGCAGCTTTTGGTTATATAATTCCATGTGTATAAAGTTTTTAAACACAGGAAACACAGCTTCCCTCACTATCAACACTGTCACCAGAGACATACATTTGTTACATCCATGAACATACCCGGACACATCATTATCACCAAGAGTCTTTAAAGTTTGTATGTATGAAATTTTTCTATGCTCATTTTCTTCTTTTTCTCTACCTTATGCTTTCAAGATCATCCATTCTAGTGATTGGATTAAGGTCCACTAGTTCTCTTTCAAGTTTCTAAGAATTCTGTCAAATACTTCCTTATTTATTAAAATGTTTTCCCCTTTACTCTATTAGTACTGTCAAATAAGTCAATTGGTTTGTGAACATTTATCTAACTTTGCAACCTTTGAATAAACCTAAGTTAGAAATAATATCTTTTTTATATAGTGAAGGATGTTTACTCTTATTTTATACTCTTGGGTGATATTGGACTGTGATTTTTTCATATTGAAAAAATTGCTGAATTTTGGTATCAAGGTTATGCTAGTCGCATAAAGTGTATTGGAGAGTATTCATTTATATTCTCCGGAAGAATTTGTATTTTTTGGCTATTTTATATTCATGGGTGATATTGGACTGTGATTTTTTCATATACGTGTTCTGTAGTATTCTCCAGATATTTTGTTTATCAAGTTTATTAATTGTCTGATATATAAATTAAGCCTAACATTGTTTATTTGTTCTACCAATTACTGTGCTGGGAGTGTTAAAATACCCCCCACTGTAATTGTGAATTTGATTACTACTTCTGGCTCTATCAATACTTTTATACTTTGAGAGCGTATTATTATATACATACAAGTTTAGAGTGTTGCTTCTTCCAAATTAATGAACAGTGTATCATGATGAAATGGTGCTGTGTCTATCTAGTACACTTCTTACCTTTGAGAATATACACTTCCTGGAGACCATATAGCTGTAACGTATTTGTTTTGGTCTGTATTTGCCCTGAAATAACATTTTTCCATATTTTCATTTTTATCCTTTCTGAATCACGTTTTAAGTCTTTTTTTCTTTTATTAAAGAAAGCATGCACATATAGTTTTTAGTAGTACTCACATCTTTGGTTTTTGTTTGTTTCTTTAACTGAGGAACTTAGTCCGTTTAAATTAAATGTAATTACTGATGTACTTGGGTATAAATCCACAATTATATAGTTTCTATTTGTCTTTCCTGTTTATGTTCCCTTTTCTCTCCTTTCTTACTTTCTTATAGACTTATTGATTTTATTATTTTATTAACTTGGATGTTATGCATTTCTTTTATATTTTAATGATTACCCTAAAACTTCCCAATTCATTTGCTTTTTTAAAAAAATAAACTTAACTTACTTTCTTTTGTAGAGCAGTTTTGGGTTCACAGCGAAATTGAAGAGAAAGAACAGACAGTTGACATATACCCAGCAACTCCCACTCCTGAACAGCTTCCCTCACCATCAACATCCCCCATTCTCGTGGAGTATTCGTTGATGGTAACAAATACTCCATAAACCTACATTAACACATCATTATCACCCCAAGCCCACAGTTTACATTAGGGTTTGCTGTTGGTTCATTTGCCTTTCATTTCTTTCTGCATTTCTGAACTTTTATCTAGGATTATTTTCTGTCTCTCCAGGTCCTTGCCCACTCACTAATCTCTACAAAGTAATTTTATCTAACATTTAAGTACTTTTATACTTTTAGGATGCTTTTGTTTGCTTGTTTGCAAAAAATTTAAAGATTAAAAGATTATTTTTAATGGGCAGGTTGATCTCAATTTCCTAGTCCACCATTACCAGAAACAAGAAGAGGCTGCACTTACTCTTCAGTGATTTCTATCTTCACCTGCAAACCTTCCGTTGTTATACTTCCATCTGTCCTGTGCCCCAATTTTAGCTCCAGACCATGTCTTTTCAAGTTTGGTGTGTTTGTGAAGTACTGCCAAATTCCCATTTATTTCTCTGATAATATGTCATTCTTCTGAAAATAGTTACAGTTCTGATATTAGTGCAAGTAAGTGTATGTTTTTCATTCTGAATGTATCTACACTATAACAGAATGCTTCACTGTTTTATTTTCCTTTGACTTTTTGGATTGGAATCTTATGGAGGGTGGCGAGTAGCGAATATTTGAACTAAAGTCATTGTCTTACCTAGAATTCTGCTTCTGATGTGTCTACCTCTATCTGCATGTGTGTGTGTGCTCACACTTGTGAACTTTTCTTGCATTTATACAAATATTAATCATGCTATTGGTTTGCTGATTTCTGTAATAAGAGAACGGTAACTTTTGGCATTGCTTTTCAATCTTTTCCTTCCTGGTCTCTTGTGGTTTCAGATTATTGTAAGAGAAATGAACAGTTAAGAGCAAAAGAGTGAAGTTATATTCATTATTTAAATTTGTCAGTACAAGAAAAAACACCATGGAGGCCCAGGAATATTTGTTCAAACCATTTCCTCATTCTCAAGGTCACATAACTTCCTGTCTAATTCCAGTGTAGACCAACATCAGTGGAACACTCGATTATTTGTCTTCTTAGTCACACCTCAGCTTCTTATTCACTAATGACAGGAATGTATTTTCAAAGTTTTAGTTTCTTTTTCTCTGTTTTATTCCAAGACTGCTTTTCAAAAATGTTTCATTTCTTCTTTGCCATCTTCCTTACTGTATATTCTCTTCTAATCTCCCAGCTCATTTCCCAGTTGTTACAAACATTATCTAAGTATTCTCAATATTATGATTTTTAACTTATTTCATGTTAAATGTTTCCTATAGATTTCATGTGTATTTATTCTACCTAATATTAATATAATTATCCTGATCAAAATACTTTTTCATTTTACTGGCTATGGGAATTTATGTTCATTGGAGAAAAGGGTAGCTGGAATATGTGCTAAGTAAAGAAACAAGGACTAGTGTGTTGTGCAGATGTGTGTTTCTGCAGTCCTCAGCGGGCCCCTGTTCTCTGCTGCAGACTTCTCCATTGTGGTTGGGGTGCTGTTCCCAATGGCGGTCATTTTTGTGGTGGTTGCTATGGTAATCCGGCACCAGAGCTCCAGAGAAAAGCAGAAGAAAGATCAGAGGTGATCCTTTATCTTATCTTGCTGTAGGGACTCTTTGACCCCTATTTTACTTTACTTTAAATTCAATGTATAACCTATCCTTTCAAATTGAATTGGTTTACTTCTAATATTCAGAAATACATGCAGATGGTCTTTTTGGACGAGAAACTGGGTTTCCCTTTAACTGAGAAATCCTTCACATCTAGAAATGTTTTTTGTTTTTCCTTCTGTTAGTCACCGTAGTTATAATAATAAGAGTGATATTAACTCTCATTATGACAGATTTTTTGAATTTGTTGTAAGAATATAATATCTAACATTATTTGATCAATATACGATGAGCACTGTGCTAAGCACCGCCCCACCCACTTTTTTTTGAGACAAGAGTCTCCCTCTGTGGCCCAGGCTGGAGTGCGATGCTGCGATCTCGGCTCACTGCAACCTCCACACCTCCCAGTTTCAAGTACTTCTCCTACCTCAGCCCCGAGTATCTGGGATTACATGCACATACCACCACACCGGGTTATTTTTGTATTTTTAGTAGAGATGGGGTTTCACCATGTTGGCCAACCTGGTCTCAAACTCCTGACCTCAAATGATCCACCCACTTTGGCTTCCCTAAGTGCCGGGATTACAGGTGTGAGTCTCCACACCCGGCCGTGTGCTAAGCCCTTTTATATCTATTATCTTATTTACACTTCACAAGAACTTCATAAAGTGGTCATGAGTTTCATTTTACAGATGAGAAATGTTTTATGCTAACCCTTACACAATTTTGCAAGGTTAGGAACTTCACATTTTGATGGATATAGAAACAAGCTCAGAGAGATTATTAGCAAACATGCTTTCAGTCTTGCAGAGTAAGTGGTGGAGGCTGGGTTTGTCTCACGAACGTGATTCTGGCACAACGGTGTTTTTTTTTTTTTTTTTTTTTTTTTTAGCACTTTTAAAGAAAGACTTATTTACTCATGATGAGTTTTTTAATATTGAGTAAGACATTAATAAAACAACATAATTTAGATAAAATTTGGATTCAACACTATCATTTTTAGAAGTCAGGGGTTTTTGGAGAAAAAAGAAAACTAGTAGTGATTATGAATTACAAGGCAATGAAAGAGGCTGACGGGGAAGTAAAAACTGACCCAGGGAGCAGATAAAAACCCAGGCAATAGGCAAGAAAGACACAATGGGAAAAAGAAGTTGGGAATCTTCTACGGAGTTTCCCTGTCATGCTGAAGGAGCTGCTAAGTCAATTGATATCATGTGTTTCTCTCTTACAGGCCACTATCTACCACTGGCACCAGGCCACACAAACAGAAGAGGAAACCCCAGATGGTAAAGGCTGTTCAACCCCAAGAGGTGAACTATATAGTCTGGGCTGTGATTACCATGGCCCCACTTTGCGTTTCTCTCACACTCTTATCCTGACTACCTATCTATCATTTCTACCCAGCAGCGTTTTGCAGTAACACATTCAGAAATGTCTCCTTTGCCTTTTGTTAAAGGCAAAAGAGTCCCTAAAATGCCGAGGCTACTTTGCCGGGGTTCATGAAATGCAAACAGAATAAAGAGAACAAAGAATGCACATACCGGATGTCTGTCTGTCTCTCTCTTTGTCTCTGCTTCATTCTCTCTCCCTCTCTCACACACACACACTCCCTCTAGCTTATTTCTTTGCAAATTGACAAAATAGATACAAAAATATGTATGTCTGTATGATAATACATGTAATATTTATAACCCAAATGTCCTACTCATGTCCTGTAAATTTAAAGATTTTAGCTGAAGTTGGTTAATAACATTGGTAATCATTTATAACATTGGTAATCATTTTTTGATGAAAACTTTTCATTACAGCTCTGGGAAATACTTCTATGGAATACGCCAGCAGGACCACTGTGATTTTCTATCTGGTCTCTTGGTGTCAGCTTAGTTCCAAGCTTCCATGCCTTGAAAAGTGCTTACTTAAAAATTACTTAAAAACTGTGCTTATGAAACTAATGGTTCATTTTGAAATATTCGTTCTTCTTTTCAGATGAGTCAGATGAAGCCCCATGTGTATGATCTGCCAGTAGAAGGCAATGAGCCCCCAGCCTCTTTTGTGAGTTAGCAACTTCTCTTAAATACCACCCTAGTTCAATCTCCAGGAAATATCGGTGAAAGTCATAGCCCACAACACTTCATTATTTCTTCAGGACAATATTGAAATCTATGTGAATATTAATATAAAATACAAATTCTTCTGCAAAATATTTTGAAAATATAAAAAAATGAACATGTATGTCACTCCATGCCAACTTGTGACAAGAAGAGGACTAATCTGCTTAATAGAGTACCACTGTTTTCATCAGCTCAGGCTGCTGTAACTAAATTAACATAGATTGAGTGGCTTAAACAACAGATATTTACTTCTCACATTCTGGAGACTGGGAAGTCCAAGTTCAAGGAGCTGGCAGATCCAGTGTCTGGTGAAGCGGCCTTCTGGCTTGTAGACAGCTGCCTTTTTATTGTATCCTCACATAGCAGAGGGAGAGCATCTCTCTTGTGCTTCTTCTTATAATGGCATTAATCCTATCATGAGAGCTGCACCCTCACGACCTCATTATTTCCAAAAGGCCCCACCTCCAAATACCATCATTCTGGGGATTAGGGTTTCAACATATGAAATTGTGGGGTGACACAAACATACAGTTTATAGCAATCATCTTTATCAGATACCTATTGACATTGGACTTAGGTCTCAACTGTGTATGTACAACTAAATGAAAGCAATCAAACTCATATTTTACAATATTCTCATGGGTGGGGTCATGGCTTCTCCATTTCTGAAAATGATTTAAGTCTTTTCTTTATGCACGCCTATTTTCAGGACCCTATCTTTGAATGTAAATGTTTTATCCTTTTACTAGCTAATTACAAAGCCAGATTTTCCACCACCGCCAATTCCTGCACCTATATCATCTTCTTTGCTTGTAAGTATCAGATAGTCATTGGTGAATTTTTAATCTCTCACCTGCTCATTGCAAATACTGTCTCCACATCCATCGGTTATCAGGATGTGTACTTTTGAGGTTAACTTGAAATATCACAGCACATTTGTCCCAGGGATATCTAAAACTTCCTGTCTATAAATTAGTATGGATATTGATGTTTTATTATAAAAAATAGTATTGCTGTTATGCAATTATTGAGAAACGATAAATAGCTCTGCTCTGTGAGGTCTCAAAGATTCATTTCTAGATGTTTATTTAAGGAGATAAAATTTTATTAGGTGATATTTTACTTTATGTATATTAGTCATAGTTTTCTGTAGGAGGTAGGGTATGAAAAATGGGCCATATATAAGCAAACCTGGAATAAGAGTCAGGTGCTCATGAAGTAAGAATTACAGTACATTCACTCATTAAATGGCTCCTGAGCATTTTTCTTGTGCCTGGTATTCTGCTGTGGGTAAATGAGAAAGACCTACATTTGAGATTTTTTTCTTTCAAGAAATTTCACATTTTTAGTGAGAAAAAACAAGTCATATAAAAATGGAGCACTTAATTCTTCAACTGTTATTTGTAGTATCGCCCAAGACGAGTGACACTGACAGGAAAAATATGGTGAGGAGAAAGTCAACGGGCTTGGAGTGGTTAAAGTAGGACGAATATTCATTGGTTGAGTAGTTGGAATTTGAACTGGACCTTGAAAGTTGGGTAGAATTTAAATGAGTGAAGAAGAGCTAGGAAATAATTTCATTAAGGAAATAAATATAGCTAAGATGGGACAAGCATAGCATTTCTAATGCCATACCATTGTTTTTATAATTAACGTAGCATAAAGACACAAACGCACTTCCCCCTACTGTTTTCAAGGATAATCCAGTGTCTACACCTAAGGTAAGAGATCTATAGCCAAATTATTATATTCTTGTATTATAATCTCCTACTGTCAAGAGAAGGCCCACCATGTCTTTTTAGAAAAAAACTTACTAAGAACAGTATCTGTATGATTTGGAGATGGGTGCCAACATGAAAGTCTTATTTCTCGGTATGGCCAATAATTAAAAAGAGAAATTAGAAGATTCTCAGCTAGAAAGCTATGTAGACACCAATATTATTTATTTTCTCAGAAATATTCCCTAAGGATGAACATGAGAAGAAACCTCCCATAGAATAATAAGTATAGTATCCTGTAACTCTCCTTCTGGTCCCCTACCTTCTCCATATTATGCTAATTACCGGATAGATACTTAGATCTTAGTGTAGTGTTTTTCTCACTCCCTTCCTATCCTCTCACATTTCTACTTCTTCGTTTTTGCTGTATCAAGTGACCTATGAAATAGAAACTGACTTCAGATAATTTTAATTTCTTCATAGTTCAGCTTCATAATAGTAAATATCTAAATTTTTGAAGAAAGTTGATCATTTAGAAGTTATGTCTTTTTTAGGACTCAAATCCAAAAGCATGAAGCAACAGCTAAGCAAGAACTAATGGCTAAATTATCAACTTGGAAAACTGGAAAATCTGGATGGCAGAGAAATATACTATCTATCTCACCAGTATTTGCTCTCGACTCAAGAAGGTTAACATTTTCTGATTCATGTTAGACTTTGAAGAGACTAAAGAAAATTTTCAAGAGGAACATATGCCTGAGAACCTTTGCATGAATTTAAAATTTCAATTATCCATTCTTATAAGAAGGAAGATGATTGTAAAGAAATATCTCCGAAGTTAAAATCTGTAATAGGAATTGATTCATTCTCTAATGAAAACAAAACATAAAAACATCACACTAATCTTGGAGGAATAAGAAAAATTGTACATCCATTAAATGTACAATTGATTGCAACATCTTGATTGTTTTAACCATTAACTTGTCAAATTACAATCACAGTTAAGAAAATGATGTAAAATTCTGTTTTGTGGATCTCTTTCCTAGATTAGCTTCTGAAATCATTATTAGCTATATCATTTGAGGTTTTCTACAATTTGGTATAACTAAGAATTTAAAAATGTTTTATCATATATATTTGTATAATTAATTACTGGCATGGTTAAAGTGGTTTTCACTTTTTAAATGGAGAAAATTTCAGTTAAATTAATAGGATAAACCAGGTTGCGAACTGGTGACCTGTAGGCCATGTTTGCACTGCAAATATATTTGGTCTGAATGATATTGATATTGGACACATAGTACTTTTACATGTTTTGAATGTATTGCTAATATTTAAAAATTGAGAGATCTTGCATAAACAATAGATTCCCAGCTTTGTCAGATGTAATCTAAAAGTAATCCGATGCTTTGTCAACAACAGACTTACATTGCCCATAGCAACCGTCAGCTTAGTTGATGGGTAATGTAGCAAACACTATTGGTTTCCTACCAAATAATCCCCTTTTTCCTGGCTTTTAGAACAATAATTTTGTTCACCTGCCCACTTCTAGGAAAGAATATCCTATCTAATCTATCTATCTCAGGGATAAATCCCTATCCTTTTAAGTAAGTCAAGTCAATTAAAATAACCTCATTTTTCCTTGCTAGTGGTCGACTTGGAGATGATTTTATAATCCTCCCCCTCCCTTTTTTTTTTTGCTAGTAAGACGACAGAGGAATTATGTTACAACACTTCTGGAAAATTTTTCCTCGTCTCTTTTTCTGGATATGGGCATCTGAATACTCTAGCTGGTACTGCTGCGCTCCACACGGTGATTATGAAGGCTGAAAAAGATAGATAGAGCAGAAAGATGAAAAGAATAAAACCTGGCCTTTCAATGATGTCATGGAATTGGTAGATCAGTGACTGCTGGAGTTACCTCACACTTTCTTGGTACTCCTTATTATATGAGCCATACATTTTCCTTGTTGTTTAAGCCATTTTGAATTGGATTTTCTCTCACTTTCAACAGAGATCATCCTAACTAGTAAAGTAGCTGTTTCCATAATCAGGGAACATGCTTTAGTTCATCATCACAGCTACAGTTTTTCTTGTATTTGTCTGCTTCACCCATTTCTATCAATCACTTACCTGGTCCCCACAGGCCTGTCGCTTCATGAGGAACTTTATGGTTCATTTACCCTTGCAGTATGAGGTTCTAGATAAGCCCACTCTGGCCTCAAAAGTGAAGCTCAGTCCTCAGGAAATCCAGAGTCCACTGATCAAATCACTGTCAAGGATACAGGCTTTTTCTCCATGTGGCATTTGCAGAAGAACAACTTTAAAAGTAGAGCTTTATCTGCCCTGTGAGGTTTCAGAAGACCCTCCCCTGACCCAGAAATAAATCCCTATTTCCTGGAAAGCCATTATGTACTCGTGACCAACTTGTGAACTTTTCTGTGTTGTTGTTGTTGTTTTTTAAATATCTGTCCCCAGTAATAGATTCACCTAATCCTTTTTTATACTGATGGAATGGAAATCTTAAATCTATGAATCCTCAACTAGCCATGTACCATAACCCAAGCAAAAACTAAACCATACACTCTCAAAAGCAGTGGCATGTGAACATGCCTGCAAGTTCCTAAATGATGTCACTAGGTCCCTGATGCAGATGCATCATACGTCCTATTTGAAGAGAAGAAATGCAGTACAATGACAGGAAAACCATTATTTTATCATAGAACTGCGAACCCAAGTCCTACAATGTTTCCCTTTCAGCTCAACTGCAGAATAGTTTAGAACAGACTTTTTGATTTCACAATACTGTTTCCACACTTACTTATATCCGTAACTTTCTAACTTTAAGGGAATTCCGCTTATTTGACATTTAACTACCTCAGATATGCCACCAAACCTGTTTTCATCATTAGTTATTTTTACCTTGTCTACTTTAAAACAGTGAAATTATTAGGTTAAATTATGTTTTTATCCAGTTACTCTAAGATACCTTAGTGTTTGTCTACTTATTACAACTCACCAAATTACTGGTTTTATATGGCCTTTGGGAAGGCTTTTAGCTTTTTATAAAATAATGAAGTATGCATGAAAAGAAAGCAAATTTTAGTTGGTTGCAGTCAGAGAATATGGAAAGGGTTATTATTATAATTAGGATTTTATTATTCACATTGGAAATCACTGCTATGTGTTAAGGAATTGAAGGTGGCCTCTGGCTAGCAGCCATTAAGAAAATGAGCCCCTGAGTTCAACGACCCTCAAATGAAGTGAAGTCTACCAATAACCACTGAATAAGCTTGGAATTTTAGATTCCTTCCCAGCTGAATCTTGACTTCAGCCTTGTGAGACACCCTGAAGTAGAGGATGCAGCTAAATTTTGTCCAGATTACACACCCACAGAAACTGTATGATAATTAATATGTGTTGTTTAAAGTTGTTATGGTTTGGAGATATTTGTTATGCAGCAATAGATAGCTGATACAAGGAAGTAGAGAACAAACATTTTCTATTAGTCTGTTTTCACATGGCTATAAAGAATACCACCTGAGACTGGGTAATTTATAAAGAAAGGAGGATTAATTGACTCAGATTTCCACATGGCCTAGGAGGCCTCAGGAAACTTACAATCATGATGAAAGAGGAAGCAGAAACATCTCATATGATGGAAGATGTGTATGAAGGAGGAACTGTCAAACACTTATAAAACCATCAGATCTCTTGAGAGCTTACTATCTCGACAAAAGCATGGGGGAAACCACCCCCATGATCCAATCACCTCCCACCTGGTCCCTCCCTCAACATGTGGAGATTATAGCAATTAAAAAAATGAGATTTGGGGGGATGGACACAGAGCCAAACCATATAATGTTTTAAATGCTCCAGATAGGTTTAGGTAAAATTAACTATATTTAATAGGCTTTCATCACTGCAAAACTTTTTTTCCTTTCTTTGTGTCTCTAGTCTCTTCCATTTGTTCTCCCTTCTTTACTAGCACCGAGGATTTGCTTGAAATCTCTGATAGCCAGTATTCTCATTTATCATATTCTTTCTCACTTTGTGTTTCCTTGGTAATTTTGGATAACTCCTTAAATTTATCTTCCAAATTACTGGTTTTTATATTCTGTACTGTCAGTCCTCCTGTTCACTAATTTCAAAATTTATAGTTGTTTCTCTTGTTTACTTATATAGTTGTTTCTCTTGTTTACTTAATAACATTCTCTTCTTTCCTATCAGTTTAATTTTATAAAGGCTAACCAATTAACTGTTTTTAACTTATATTTCCAGATATTTTAAAAATTAAAGCAAAATGTGTATAAACTTTATTACTGCTTCCCACAGTAAATATTTTTCAGAAGTACATGCTTTCTCAGCCACTTGACTAGTATGTTCCCCATCATTCAAAGACACCATTATTTCCTAAGTGTTATATTGCTATTTTTCAGTTGGTGCATCCAATATTATTATCAGCTTTAATATTGTTTCATCATATGTCATTGTTCAAAGAATCCATCTCTTGAGCGTAAGCTAAATAATTTGCATACACTAGCATCTGGATGTAATATGGAAAAATATGGAAATGGTTGGGGTGATAAGCAAGTCTTGCATATTCTTTTCTCCTCAATTTTTTTTCTCCAAAGTGGGCCAAGCCAAGAGTGGCACAGCTGTGTGGAGATACTGAGCTCCACCTTGTCAGGGAAGATCCCAACTCAGGAGAAAACACCTCTAACAAAATCTGTAGCCACGTTGGCACATCTGCCCTTGAATTCACTTTGTCTCTTTTGCTGCTTCCATAAAAAGGCTTTCCCTTGACAATGTTAGGCACTTTTTAGCAACTAGGCCTGGGTGGTCTGCTACAATGCCCAACACTTAATACAGTATCACTATTACTGTTAGTAGTATGCTAAGCGAATACTATTGTTATAAAAAAAATCCTAAGCATGAAAATTACGGTATACAATTTATTGTGAAGGCAACTTCTTGTGAACATTAAACGGTTTATCTCCTTCACCTCATATTAAAGTCCATACTCTTGGGATATATCTGACATCTCAATATTAAATGACTAAGATGACTAAGTCGTTTATGTTGCTCCCACCTCACACAAAGTTAAAACTATTTGTTACTTTAAATAGTTTGACAATGTTATTTTAAAATCTGGACAAATCACAAATATAAAATACTTATTTAATTTTCTTCTGTAAAAAGATGTATGCTTGGTCAGGCACAGTGGCTGATGCCTATAATCCCAGCACTTTGGGAGGCTGAGGTGGGTGGATCACGAGGGTCAGGAGTTCGAGACCAGCCTGGCCAAGTTGATGAAACCTCATCTCTACCAATAATACAAAAATTAGCCAGGCAGGATGGCGGGCACCTGTAATCCCAGCTCTCAGGAGGCTGAGGCAGGAGAATCACTTGAACCCAGGGCACAGAGGTTTCAGTGAGCCAAGATCGTACCACCGCACTCTAGCCTGGGTGACAGAGCAAGACTGACTCCACCCAAAAAAAAAAAAAAAAAGCAAAAAGAACAAAGCTGGAGGCATCACACTACCTGACTTCAAACAATACTACAAGGCTACAGTAACCAAAGCAGCATGGTACTGGTACCAAAACAGAGAGACAAACCAATGGAACAGAACAGAGGCCTCAGAAGTAACACCAGACATCTCCAACCATCTGATCTTTGACAAACCTGACAAAAACAAGCAATGTGTAAAGGATTCCCTATTTAATAAATGGTGTTGGGAAAACTGGCTAGCCATATGCAGAAAACTGAAACTGGACCCTTTCCTTACACCTTATACAAAAATTAACTCAAGATGGATCAAAGACTCAGACGTAAGACCTAAAACCATAACTCCAGAAGTAAACCTAGGCAATACCATTCAGGACATAGGCATGGGCAAAGACTTCATGACTAAAACACCAAAAGCAATGGCAACAGACGCCAACATTGACAAATGGGATCTAATTAAACTAAAGAGCTTCTGCACAGCAAAAGAAACTATCAGAGTGAACAGGCAACCTACAAAATGGGAGACAATTTTTGCAATCTATCCATCTGACAAAGGGCTAATATCCAGAATCTACAAAGAACTTAAATTTACAAGAAAAAAAAAATCCCCCATCAAAAAGTAGGTGAAGGATATGAACAGACACTTTTCAAAAAAAGATATTTATGCAGCCAACAAACTATGAAAAAAAGCTCATCATCACTGGTCATTTGAGAAACGCAAATTAAAACCACGATGAGATACAATCTCATGCCAGTTAGAATGGTGATCCTTAAAAAGTCAGGAAAACAACAGATGCTGGAGAGGATGTGGAGAAACAGGAACACTTTTACACTGTTGGGAGTGTAAATTAGTTCAACCATTGTGAAAGACAATATGGCAATTCATTAAGGTTCTAGAACCAGAAATACCATTTGACCAAGCAATCCCATTACTGGGTTTATACCCAAAGGATTGTAAATCATTCTACTATAAAGACATATGCACACGTATGTTTATTGTGATACTGTTCACAAAGCAAAGACTTAGAACCAACCCAAGTGCCCATGAATGATACACTAGATAAAGAAAATTTGGCACATATACACCATGAAATACCACACAGCCATAAAAAAGGATGAGTTCACGTCCTATGCAGGGACATGAAAACCATCATTGTCAGCAAACTAACAGAGGAACAGAAAACCAAACACCACATGTTCTCACTTATAAGTGGGAGTTGAACAATGAGAACACACGGACCCAGGGAGAGGAACATCACATACCGGGGCCTGTTGCGGGGTGGGGGAGTAGGGGAGGGATAGCATTATGAGAAATACCTAATGTAGATGATGGGTGGGTGGGTGCAGCCAACCACCATGGCACATGTATACCTATAGTAACAAACCTTCACATTCTGCACATGTATCCCAGAACTGAAAGTATAATTTTTAAAAAATTTAAAAAACAATATATGCTTAATATAGAAAGGTTGAGAAACAAGAGAAAGTACTAAGACAAAAATTTTTCCTAATCTCACCAAGTATGATTTCAATCAACACTTGGAAATATGACCTTTTCCTCTCTTTTCTGTCTGGTATATAAGTTAAGTATTAATTCAATATTTATGCTATTTGTATTATGGCTTTTAATTTTACTTAGTAATATGACACAAATCTATAAGAATATTATGCAGCCATCAATACTATTTTATTAATGAATAATGTTTTACTTAATATCTGATTCAACAATGAAATCTTTTTTCAAAAATGTTTATGGCTAAAATAATGCAGTGATGAACAATGGTGTATATACCATCTAAAGGCAGTTCTCTGTATCACAGTTCGGGTTCCTGGGCAAGCAGAATCTGAGATGGATTTTAGCAGCCAGGAAGTTTATTATGGAGGGCTTTCAGGTCAGGTCCCCTATTTGTTTAATGGAATGGGAGAAAGCAGGATTAGGCTGGAGGAGTTGGGAATGATGCTGCCTCAAAGAAGGCTTTAGCTGGCCCAGCCAGCCCTGAACCTGGGCTATCCTTCAGAATGAAGCCAAGTTGAGGCAAAAGGGAAAAGCTTTTACTCCCTCATGTCAACTAGTCACAGGTACAAATTGCTCTCAAAAGAGCTGTGACCTTGGGCAAGATGACTTTATTTAGTGAAAGCATTTTCCAGGTACAAATTGCTCTCAAAAGAGCTGTGACCTTGGGCAAGATGACTTTATTTAGTGAAAGCATTTTCCAAGGCAAGTTGATGGCTGTCTGCAGGTAGCACAGCCAACAATTGGGGGATAAGTTCTTCTGTGCTTAATGGCGACCTGTGCAGCCCAAAACAAGGCCTATTTTTTCTTTGAGTCTGGGTTTCATTGCATTGCTCAGACTGGTCTCCAAGTCCTAGACTCAACAATCCTCTTGACTCAGCCTTCCAAGTCACTGGGATTACACATGTGATCCACAACACCCAACGTTTATTACTTCTTATTTCCTTTGGATAGTACTCTATATGTTGGCTAGCCCCCTAAAAGTTTTCCAACTTTTTTGCTACACTTTGCAAAAATTTTTCTCTAGTAGGAATATGTATGAATTTAAATTTCCATTAGCAATTTATGAAACTGTTTCCACATAGGCATTCTCATTCTTAATACCTGCCTATCTTAACACCTTTCCTTGCTTAGAGGATTCCCACATTGCACATCTTGGAGATATAGCTCCTTTGCTATTTGCAGTGGCAACTGGAAATATTCTGCATGTTGTTACCAGATTCTTTTTATTTTTTCCTGGAGACAGGGTCTTGCTCTCCTCTCTTGCACCAGGTTGGAGTGCAGTGGCATGATCTTGGCTCACTGTGATTTCAACCTCCCAGGCTCAAGCAATCCTCCTACCTCAGCCTCCAAAGTAGCTGGAACCATAGGCATGCACCACCACACTCTAATTTTTGTATTTATTGTAGAGAAGGGGTCTTGCCATGTTGCCCAGGCTGGTCTTGAACTCCTGGGTTCAAGTGATCTGCCTGCCTTGGATTTCCAAAGTACTGGGATTCCAGGCTTGAGCTACAGTGCCTGGCCAACCCTCTTTTGCACCTATGACATAGTTATGGCCAAGGATCTACCTTTCAGATGTACCCTCCCAGAACTTTGAATCAGAAGTATGTAATATAAAGCAGAAATTACAGAGAATTATCTTTGGTGATGCACACTGTTATAATAAGGTTGAGTTCCTCAGGAAGTCTTGAGACTAGTGCCAATTGCTGGTTCAAGGCTGGTCTAGTGCAAGGAGTATCAGCAGTGTCAGCTGAGTGACTGGCAAGGGTGAGACAGACATTCTGTATTATTCAGCTCCACGATACAGGCTGGAATTCCTCATTGCATAGCTACCAAGTTTGGTTCTCCAGTCCTCATGTCGAGTCCTTCAGCTACCTAAAATCCTTTGTTTTAACTCAAATATTATGTTTTATTGTGGTAAAATATATATGACATTGAATTTACCATTTTAACCAGTCTTAAGAATACAATTTGGTGACATAAGTACATTCATTGTGCTGTGCAACCACCACCACCATCTATTTCCAGGACCCATTCGTCATTCCAAACAGAAACTCTATATCCATTAAACAATAAATCCCCGTTATGTTTTCCCCTCAATCTCTGGTAACCTCTACTCCACTTTCTGTCTCTGAATTTGCCTATTCTAGGTAGCTCCTATCAATGGAATTATACAGTATTTTTCCATCTATGTGTCTGACTTATTTCACTTTGCACCATGTCTTCAAGTTTCATCCATATTGTAGCACGTATCAGCATTTCATTTATTTTTAAGGCTAAATAACCTAATCATCTTTTAATATATTTATTTTCTATTTGAGAGGGCTGGAGATAATTTCTGTTGCTCCATGTCATCATTCAAATTAACATTGTTTTTCTCCACTTTATACATTTTAATTTACAATTTTTTTTGATGGCAAACCTATTTTAAAATGGATAATGATACATACTTTATTCCTAGTATTTTAGAACCTCATTTAAATCAGTTATTGCTATTCTCTTCTTCATGAGAACCACATCCATTGTTTCTTTCTAAGCTTAGTTGACCAAGCACAGACAATGGCTCAATGTTGAAATCTTAGCTGTGCAATCCTGATGGGAACAACAATTTAAGGAAGTTCAGAAAATTATCTAAATGAAAAATGAAATGATGATGCTATGACTAGAGATAACGGTCCCCTCCTGATGTCCCAGTAGCTTTTGAGAAAGCAGGTATCAACTGCTGGACCGCAAAAGTTGCTCCATTTCTCATAGAGAAGACTCCAATGCACAGGCCAAGTGCTATGTCTCAGCAGATAACACTGTTCCCTTGTAAATCAACATGTGTTGCCAAATTGGCCTTGATCTCTCTAACTGCTGTGGAATAGCTCTGAGATTCGTGGGTCTCTTGAGACATGTTGTAAGTATAATTGAAATGGAGCCTGCAGGAGCCAGTTCCTGGCAAAACTCTCTCAGTTCTTTTGTGCCCATGGCAGGGCTGAGTAGATCCACTGGAAAGCTGCAGTCTCAGATAGGAAATAAGGGAACGAAAATGTAGCAGAAATATAAAGACAAGAGAATAAGAGAAAAGTCAGTTTTTGGTGCAGGATGGTAAGCCACACACAGAAAACAAAGTATAGATAGTCCTCCTGGCTCTGCCAAAAACTAGCTCTTTAGCCTTATGCAAATAATTTCAATTCTTTGATTTTACCAGTCTTAAGTATACAATCTGTACATTTACTCATCTATAAAATGAAATTAAAAATGTATGACTTGCCAATATTCAAACAGGATTTTTTTGTTCTTGTTGAGACAGAATTTTATTCTTGTTGCCCAGGCTGGAGTGCAATGGTGTGATCTCGGCTCACCGCAACCTCCGCCTCCTGGTTTCAAGCAATTCTCCTGCCTCAGCCTCCTGAGTAGCTGGGATTACAGGCACACACCACCACGGCTGGCTAATTTTTTGTATCTTTAGTAGAGGCAGGGTTTCACCATGTTGGCCAGGCTGGTCTCGAACTCCTGACCTCATGATCAACCCACCTTGGCCTCCCAAAGTGCTGGGATGACAGGCATGAGCCACTGCACCCTGCCCCAAAGAGGATTTTCTAAGAAACATGTAAGGGCAGCATGAAAATATAAAGAGAAGAGAGGGAAATGTCCATCATCTAGAAAGGCAAGTAGCACGTATCCATCAGTGCCTACCTGAAGGAGGACTCCGTTGTTGAGCTTGTCAGCACAGAGACCCTCTCTGAACAGTCTATTGCATCATATGTCTTTAAGCAGAAAGTAAGGTTTGGGGAAATAATTACTTGCTGTTTGTACATATTTCATTGGTGAGTACGTATTTCACTGGTGAGTTTTTTTTGAGACAACATCTCTCTCTGTTGCCCAGGCTGAAGTGCAGTGGCATGGTCGTGACTCACTGCAGCCTCGACCTTCTGGGCTCAAGTGATCCTTTCACCTCAGCCTCCAGAGTAGCTGCAACTATGGGCATGCACCACTACACCTGCCTAATTTTTAAATGTTTTTTAGTGACAGGGTCTCCCTGTTTCCCAGGCTGGTCTCAAGTTCCTGGGCTAAAGTCATCCTCCTGTCTCAGCCTCCCCAAGTGCTGAGATTACAGGCATGAGCTGCTGTGCCCAGCCGAGTCTTTTTTCCTTGGTCTTTTATTCTCCTGATGTGCTTTTAGAATTTTCTCCGTAATCCTATTCGGTTTTCTCATCTTATATAATTAAGTTGAATCTCAGTCAGAACTTCTGGGCCAAATAAAATACTGTCCTAGATCTGAGGCTGCATTGTGCAAAGACCCTGGATTCATATTTTGGGGAAATTAACATGGACTGAATTCATACAATTTTTAGAAAATAAAGTCATAGCCAATTTCAAATTTGATTATTTCTTAAAGTAAGGATATCATAAGGTAATAACAAAAGTACACAGTAGCACATTCTGATTTATGCAAGTTTGTGTGTATTTTTGTGTGTTCGTATGTGTGCATGTATAATTTCACTTAACATTTATGACAGTCTTGCACAGGAATCTTACTTCCTTTCACACAACCACACTGTCTGCAGCAAAACTATTTTGCACTGAGAAGCACATTTAATACTATATTATTAAATATGAGAATTCTATTTTATCTCCAGCAACAAATTCTTCTAGGCAATGTTTCCAGTGAAAGTGTATCTGAAGTTGCAGTCAAATCTTTTTTTAATTTTTTCATTTCCAACTTTTATTTTAACTTCAGAGGTACATGTGCAGGATGTGCAGGTTTGTTACATAGGTAAGTAAACAGGTGCCATGGTGGTTTGCTGCAGATCATTCCATCACCCAGGTATTAAGATCAACATCCATCAGCAATTCTTTCTGATCTTCTCCTCCTCCCAACCCCCTCTGACAGGCCCTAGTGTTTGCTGTTCCCCTGCATATGTCCATTTGTTCTCATCATTTAGCTCCCACATATAAGTGAGAACATGTCATATTTGGTTTTCTGTTTCTGTGTTAGTTTGCTTAAGATAATGTGCTCCAGTTCCATCCATGTCACTGCAAAAGACATGATCTCATTTCTTTTTATGGCTGCATAGTATTCCATGTTGCTTATATACCACATTTTCTTTATCCAGTCCATCACTGATGGGCATTTAGGTTGATTCCATGTCTTTGCTATTGTGAATGGTGCTGCAATGCAGACAGTGGATGTGTCTTTTTAACAGAACAATTTCTATTCCTTTGGTTATGTACTTAGTAATGGGATTGCTGGGTCAAAAGGTATTTCTGCCTCTAGGTCTTTGAGCAATCGCCACACCCTCTCTTACAACAGTTGTACTAATTTATACTCCCACCAATAATGTAAAAGCATTCCTTTTTCTCCACAGCTTTGCCATCATCCATTGTTGACTTTTTAGTAATAGCCATTCTGCTGCAGTCAAATCTTATGCCCCTTGATTTTCTACTCCTGAAAATCCGTTCTCATTTTTCCCCATTCTTGTTACTAGTGATTAGCAGAGAGCCTGGGAAATGGTAAGCACTCAATAAATCAACTAACAAAAGTCTTCCACCAAGATTCTGAGCTTAATACATTGTGTAATTTACACTTATCTGGTTGTTTTCTGTAATTCTGCAATACAAACATTTACAAAGTCTCCATTTACTAAGTGGACACTGGAGCTAGAAGGATTAACCTCTTTCCCTGCCGTCCAGGGATTCTCATCCTAGCTCTAGAGACTGACATAAATATAGAAATAAATAATCACTAAAATAAATTGCTAAACTATGAGAACAAGAAAGTACAGAGGAAATGTTTATCAAGAGAAGGCATGAGAAGTTTCTCAGAGGAGGTGCCGTTTAAATCTTGAACTCTAGGCAATTTATCAGATCTATAAAGGAAAAAGAGAAAAAAAAGTCTTCTAGAAAATAACGGAGTTAAATAATAGCCTTGCTAAGTCATGAATCCACAAGGGCCATGACATGTTCAGGGAACTGCAAGCAGATCATCAAGACTATGGAAAACCAAAAATTGTTATTTTTGAATACGTTTAGGTATTTATATATACCATGTTTCATCAAAGATACATACATATTTGTGCATACACAAACTTAGGAGATTTAGAAAAGTATAACACCCCCCAAAAATGAACATTTAAGAAAATCAGAAAGCAAGAAAGTTCTAGAAACCATAAAGCCATGGGTCAGATGAGACTTGTGAAATTTAAAATATACGGCCCTACGTGTTTGATAAATATGAGCTCCAAACTGTACTCCAAACTATCTAAGAATAAAAAAGTAAACAAGAAAAGTAAACAGGATTTATATGAGACTCACAGTGTCTATAAAGAACAAACATACCATCATGGAAGACAGCAAAACCACATAAACACAACAAAATCAGCCAAGTGAATAAAAATTAATGGTTAAGACTGAGCTGTACATACCATCATGGGAGACAGCAAAACCACATAAACACAACAAAATCAGCCTAGTGAATAAAAATAAAAAAGACTGAGCACAGCTCTTTTTGCTTCTGAGACCTAAAATTTGTACTCAGGATGGTGTTGCTGTTGTATCCAACTAGAGAACCTGTCTGTACCTTTTGCTTGATTCCCCACCCTGGGAGCCCCTCAGTACTTCATGGCTACAGACTCTTGGCTGCCTGCCCTAACCACACTGCAGTCACACACACAGTCATAAATAAACCCCAGCAGGAAGCGAGACATAGGCTCAAATTAGAACACCCTCTCAACCTTTTCATCAATAACTTTCAGCACTGCTCAGGGTAATGGAAAAATTGTTTCTAACTGAGCTGCATATCATGAGTTTGGAAGCCAAGTAATAGCTTGCCTATTCATATCATCACTGAACAAGTTATTTCACCTACTTTTAGAATACTTGAAATACTTTTTTAATATAGATCATAGCATCTTTAAATTTTCCTTCGAGGGAATTCAGTATCTGAAAACACAGTGGCTTTAGTGACATTGGTTACAGTTTTATCACTGCCTAATCATTAATTATAATTTTTAAAGGTTCTCAGTTGATTATTTGAGGAACTGTATTTTCCTTACAGAATAATTCCTAGGTATATTGGATGATCTTTTCCGGTGACTAAAGTATATGTAGGGTGTTTGTTACAATATTTGTTCTCTTATCCTTTAATTATTTTGTTTGTAATCAATCCAGCATGGAGTAAAAGAAATAAGAGTAAAGTAATATGTATATTTTTTATTTTCTAAAAATATTGAAAGAGTTCTTCATGTAATAATGGTTCTTGACAAAATGTATCAAGAACCATTTATACCAACCACTTTATACTAACAAAATCTGAACACAGAGGGAAGGAATCAAGATGTCAGTATTTTAATAAGTTCTAGAGATGAATCTAATGTATACTCTTGATTAAGAAACAAAGATTTAATGGAAATATCTCGGCTCTAGTTGGCTACCAACATCTTATGCCTACTATTATCTTAAGAGATTAATTGTATGCTGTAAGTATTGATCTTGATTATTCATGCAAATTAGTATCCGAAATAGCAAAAGTAATTTGATTATAAAAAATTCAAATTCAAAAATATATGTTTGTAATGTCAACTGTTTATCCAAAGAATTTTCAAATTCTAAACATAGGATATTTAACTGGTGGTACTGCTAAAGCCTCTGACTTTACCTGGAATAAAATTATTATGTTTTGTTTTTATTACAGTAGTTTTTGGGGAACAGGTGATGTTTCATTACATGGATAAGTTCTTCAGTGGTAATTTCTGAGATTTTGATGCACCTGTCACATGAGCAGTGTACACTGTACCCAATATGTTGTCTTATCCCTCACTCCCCTCCTAACCTCCTCCAAGTTCCCCAAGTCCCTTATATCATTCTTATGCCTTTGCATCCTCACAGCTTAGCTCCCACTTAGAAGAGCCTAGGATATTTGGTTTTTCCATTTCTGGGTGACTTCACTTAGAATAATGGCCTCCAGCTCCATCCAAGTTGCTTTAAAAGACATTATTCCTTTTTATGGTGGAGTGGTGTTCCATGGTGTACATACATCACATTTTCTTTATCCACTCATTGGTTGATAGGCATTTAGGTTGGTTCTTTATCTTTGCAATTGTGAGTTGTGTTGCTATAAACATATAAACATGCACATGCACATGTACTTGTGCCTTCTTCACAAAATGACTTCATTTCCTTTGGGTAGATAGCCAGTAGTGGGATTGCCGGATCCAGTGGTAGTTCTACAAAGTAAAATGTTTAAAAAAGGCAAATAATCTTGAAAAGATCAGCTTGTAAATAATGAGTAAAAGAAAATATTCAGACTTGAGATTATGATTTCTCTCCTGGTGGTTGCTGAAAAACTTTATATAAAAATATCAAGCATAAATAAGAAAATATTCATGACTATAGCAGAATCCAAAGCATTTTGGGAAACTCATAATAGGTGCAGCACTCTGTTCTTTCATTCATTAGAGGTTCATGCCTATGACCATGCACAAAAGACATGGCTTTTTAAAAATAGGCTATATTTTAGAGCAGTTTTAGGTACTTAGAAAAAAATTGAGCAGAAAGCAGAGATTCTTCCCTGCTCCCACACACAGCTTCCCCCACTATCAACATCTCATACCAGGATGATATACTTGATCATTGATGACTCTCCTTTGTTCCATTATTTTCATCCAATGCCCATAGTTTAAATTAGGGTTTATTCCTGGTGTATCTTCTCTTCTATGGGTTTTGACAAGTGTATGACGACATGTATCCACCATTATAGTATCATACAGAATAGTTTTACTGCCTTAAAATTCTCTTTTCTCTGCCTATTCATCCCTCCCTCCTCCCTAACTCCTGGCAGCCATTGTTCCTTTTACTATTAATAGTTTTGCTTCTTTCAGAATAGCATTATCATTGGAATCAAACAGTACATAACCTTTCAGATTGACTTCTTTCACTTAGCAATATTCATTTAAAGTTTCTCCATGTCTTTTCAAGCAACATAACTCATGTCTTTTTAGGGCAGAATAAAATTCCAATGTTTGGATGTCCCTGAGAGTAGCAGAATGTACCACTTCAAACGATGCCACTTTGACATAGGATGACTTCAAACTGAAGTCATTTGAATTACAGCAGGTGCAAGAAGGGGGCATTCCAATCATCCACCTTTCTTCCTGAAAACAGGAGATTAAAACTCCCATGTGAATGATTTTATCCTTGTATCAGTAGAAAGGAAACATTCTTCAATGCGGAGTCACAGCTGGGAGGATTCTGTAAAACCAGACCTTGTTAAAATAATGACCTTCCTTTGGCCTCCCCATATAATGTAGTTACTTTCCACAATTGCTTCTCTTTGTTCAATGTAATAAAGCATGGAGGCTTTGCCACTCTTTGGGTCTTGGTTCCCTGGGAGCTTTATGCGGCTCCCATGCCACATAAAACTTGTATTGTATAAATTTGTATGTTTCTCTCCTGTTTATCTGTTTTATATCAATTTAATCTTCAGGACCAGTTGAAAAAACAAACTCTAAAGGGACAAGTAAAATTTTCACCCCTATGTTCTGCAGTGTATTTATCAATTCACCTACTGAATGACATCTTAATTGCATCCAAGTTTTGGCAATTATGGATAAAGCTTGTATGAATATTCCAACTCAAGTTTTTGTGTGGATTTCAGTTTTCAACTCCTTTTGGTAAATCCTAAGTAGTGCTAATGCTGGATTGTTTGGTAAGAGTATGTTTAGATTTTTAAGAAACTGCCCATGGTCTTCCAAAGTGGCTGTACCATTTTGCTTTTCTACCAGCAATGAATGAGAGTTCCTGTTGCTCCACATCCTCGTCAGCATTTGGTGTTATCAGTGGTCTGGATTTTGGCCATTCTAGTAGTGGTATCTCATTACTGTTTCAATTTACGATTCCTAATGACATATGATGTTGAGCATTTTTTGTATGCTTATTTGCTAGACCTAGGCTTTTGAAGTACCCCAGCACCCTTTACTTTGTTGCAACTGGAGATACTTCACAAATAGATATTATAAATACTGACTCAGATGACCTCAAATAACCTCTGCATCAACAATATGTGAAACTTTGTGCAACAGTGTCTCACCACTAAAGCTACATGAACTGTTAGAGTTCTGTTTTCTTCTTAAAACACAGAATAGAGAAGTAAAGAAGAAAGGTAGCTAGGCTGATACACCTTAGTTTTATACTAAAAAGGGGGTTTTAATGACCCACTAAACTGAATGATGTAGTTGTAAGTACATTTAATGAAAAAAGAAAACATCTCTATATTTACCTTGGTTAAAAAGAATTCAATGGTTTAAAGCAAATTGCTCATTTTTCACAGTTGTCTTTTTCTCTAGTCTCAGCAAGTACTGAGAAACGGGAAGAAACCCCTAGATAATGTGGGAACCGGAGTGGGTTTAATTTTGGACCCTGGGCTGTGTGACGCTTTGGCTTGGGTCACAAGGCACTTTGGGGAGTCTGAGAGAGAGAAAGAGAATGCATTGTTGTGCTTCTCTGGCCACTTGCCAACTTTGCCTCGGACACAGTGCTGTGTGCATCCCTGCAGAAGCTGGAACTAGTCCTAGTGGACTCTGGGATCAATTTAGGGCAATAGAGAAACCTTGTGCAATGTGACACCAGAGAAAATGAAACTAACCTCTGGCAGTTGCTTTCTCACTCCACCCCCTCTCAAACCTCCAAAAGGTGTAAGTTTATGTTGTTCACTCTGCTTCTCTAAGGACAAATGGTGAAAATCTGACTTGAGCTCTATTTCTGGGTGGAGAGTGACTGACTGGTTTTCTGGTCCCCAGGTTTTGACATCTATGAGGAAGATTCATCAACTCCCAGCTCCCTAAGCTTTTCCGGTTGATAATATATGATATGCACTTCCCTCCATATGCATTGCTTAGTAGTATAAGTCCCACGCAAAAATGATATTGCTTGCCAGAACAGCAATACGTTGAGAAGCACAGACATTTGAAAAGAAAAATATACTGCATTATAGATCCGAATCTAAGCGTAAATATCAAGAGAAGGGCCAAAAAATAATATACATATTAATAGGAATAATGGATATTTGAAATATGAAACCACAAGAAAAAAATGAATTAAGGAACATTTCAGGTATAGAAAATGGAAGAGTTGAAATACAGAATAAAATAGGTAGAATGAATACTAGAATAGGTAGAACTGAGGAACAAATCAGCAAACGGGAAAGATCAAATAGAGAAAATTTTCCAGAAGAAAACAAAAATTAGCAAAGCAATTTTTTAAATAAGAAAGAGTAAAAATTACAGAAGGTAGAAGTAGAAATGCTAAAATTAAAATATGAATCCTACAAAAATGGATATTTCCAAAAAATGGACATAAGGAATTACTTGAATAATGGAGATGAATTATTTAGACTTGAGAAAAAAACATGGCAAGGCAAAGAAGAGAGAAGGAAAAACAAGGCATAAAACAACAATCCTGGCCTCTAAGAACATCATGGCATTATAAAAATATCTGGTTCAAAGGATTATAAATCATTCTACTATAAAGACACATGTACATGTATGTTTATTGTGGCACTGTTCACAATAGCAAAGAACTGGACCCAACCCAAATGCTCATCACTGATAGACTGGATAAAGAAAATGTGACACATGAACACCATGGAATACTATGCAGCAATGAAAAAGGATGAGTTCATGTCCTTTGCAGGAACATGGATGAAGCTGGAAACCATCATTCTCAGCAAACACAAGACCAGAAAACCAAACACCGCATGTTCTCACCCAAAAGTGGGAGTTGAACAATGAGAACACATGGACACAGTGATGGGAAAGTAACACAGCAGGGCCTGTCAGGGGGTGGGGGGCGAGGGGAAGGATAGCATTAGGAGAAATACCTAATGTAGATGACAGGTTGATGGGTGCAGCAAACTGTCATGGCATGTGTATACCTATGTAAAAAACCTGCACGTTCTACACATGTACCCCAGAACTTAAAGTATAATAAAAAAATCAAAAACAAAGAGAAAATTCTATAATTCTAAGAGAAATGGATTACCACATAGAAAAAAAGCAAGAGCCCGTTGATCTCAGAATTTTAGAAGGAGAAATAGATTCAAGAATAAAATAAAACAGTAAAGTATTGAAGTTTCCTTCAATACTAAGTTCTTTTCAGAACTTAGACTCTAGGATTTTACATTCAAATGGTCCCTCAGTTATAATGGTTTAGTTAAAAAATATACTCAGGAATACAGGGTTACAGAAACATAACTATGTAAAGAACCATTTGAAAAGTATTTTTGGATAAATTAATAAATTAGAATAAAGATAATTTACAATATACTGCAAGAGACATATGAAACAGAGATAACCAAGTACCTCAATAAAATTATGTATCCTAAACAAAATTATTATAACCAAATAAAACCAGAAATTATATCCATAATTATGCTCATTTGAAAGCCTAGATCAGTTCTGTGCAATAGAACTTTCTGTGATGAAACTATTCTGTACCTTCACCATTCCATATGGTAGCCAATAATCACACAGCTACCAAGCTTGAAATGTGGCTTCTGTAACTGAGAAACAAAATATTTAAATTGTGTTTAATTTTAATTATTTAAATCTTAATAGCCACAAGGAGTTCATGGCTACTTTTCAGGCATTATAGGTCTCAATAATATCAATATGTTGTAGGGCTTGGGGGAAAGCAAGGGATATGAAGCAGGGTGGATAAGTTATAAGACAAAGATTGACAGACTAGATAAAATATGGGTACACGTTATTTCTAAATAATACATCTAACATAGAATTTCATGCAAAGACTGAAAACAAACGGATAGCAATAGATGTATCAACTCATGTAGGCACCTAATTATCAAATATACATACTTTACAGTGGAAAGCATCATTAGGGATGGAGGAGGTAAGTGATAGAGTCACTGTATAATTTTAAAAGGTACAATTTGCAAAGACAATATAGAGTTTTACATATCTTTATAACGAATAAATTTATAAAATTACAAGGAGAAGTTCATGTATCCACCTTCACTGTGTCAGATTCAACATTTCCTTTTTGGTTGTGAATAGTGCAAATAGGCAAAAAGCTAGGAAGAATATTTAGGCAAGCTGAATAATACAATTGTCAACCTAGAGCTACTGTACATATGCACCCAATAACAAGTAAAAACATCTATAAAAGTATTACAGTATATAACCAAAAATACAATAAAAGAATTAAAAATACTAAGAATATTTTAATAATAAAAGGAGGCAGGGAAGAAAAAGAGAAATAGAAAATAATGCAAAAAATGGAGAGAGATAAGAAAATAAATGCAAAAAAGGAGAGAGAAAAAGCAAAATAGCATATCCCCTCATCGTACCAATAATTATATAAAACACAAATTGGCAAAGCAACTAAAATAAAAGGTAGACACATTTTAGAAACAGTTTTAAAAAGACTGGGTTAAACCCTGACAAAAATATATTGTGTTAATGTAAAGATAAAATTGAATGTAAAAAGACATACTATGCAAATATTCCTTAGAAGGTGATGTGACTATAGGAATACCAGAAAAATTAGATTTTAGTAAAAAAAATATATATATCTTAATATATATATATTTTTTATGTATTTGTTAGAGACTACATATATATATATATATATATATATATATATATATATATATATATATATATATATATATATGGCTGGAAATAAAGAGCAGCATTTCCTACTAATTAATTCATCACGAAGACATGATAATTCCAAATGTTATATGCTTGATAATAAAACTTAAAAAGCTAGGGGCCTAGCTAGTTCCCTCCAGTCCTTTTATAAAAGCACTAATCAATTCCTGAGTGCTCCATCCTCATGACCTAATCACTTTTCAAAGGTGACACCTTTTAACAACATCGCATTAGGTATTGCATTTTAACATAAAGTTTGGAAGGGATGCAAACATTCAAACCAAAGCAGGCATTCATTATTTAAAAACACTTCAGAAAAAAATAAGAATGGAAGGGAACTTTCTAAACTTGATAACATTGACCAAAAACCTACAGTTAATATTAAATCTAATGATAAAAGATTGAATGGTTTTGTCTTAAAACTGGGAACAAGGCAAGGACATTTACTCTCAACACTTTTATTCAACAATGGGCTGGAAGTTTTAGCCAGTGCAATGAGTCAAGAAAAGTGGGGGATCGGGGGGGGGTGGGGGTGGGGGGTGGGGGTAGAAAGCAACCATATGATAGATGAAATAAAACTCTACTGTTTGCAGATGACATGATGGTCTATTTAGAAAATCCCAAAGAATCTACCAAAAAAATCCTAGAGCCAGTAAGTGAGGTCAACAGGTTACAGATTACAAGATGAACACAGAAAAATAAATTATATTTTTCTATATGAGTAATGAATATAAGAAAACCGAAATGAAAATACAATGCCATTTATAATTTTTTTTAATACTCAGATGTAAATCTAACAAAATATATCCAGGATGTATAACCCTGAAAACTACAAAATGCTGATAAAGTAAATCAAAGAAGATTTAAATAAATGGGGAAACATTCCCTATTCATGGTTTGGAAGACTAAACATAGTAAAGATATCAATTCTTTGCGAATTAATATATAGGTTTAGCACAATTCCTACAAAAAGCTCATCAGGAATTTTTCTGCATAGAGATAAGATTATTCTAAAATTTACATGAAATGCATAGGATCTAATATAACTAAAACATTCTTGAAAAGGGAGAATAAAGTGAGAAGCATCAGTTCACTTGATTTTAAGACATATTATACATATATACAGTAATCTAGTTGTAATGTATTGATGGAGGAATAGACATATAAATGAAATCAAATAGGCAACTCAGAAATAGCCACATGCAAACACATCTGATTTTGAAAAGAGGGCAAAAGCATTTCAATAGAGAAGAGATTTTCCAGTAGTGCTGGAGAGAATAAACATTTATAAGCAAAAAGGAAAACAAACCTCAATTTGAACTTCACAACTTATACAAAAATTAGCTCAAAATTGACTACAGACTTAAATATAAAATACAAAACTATAAACTCTGACAAAAATACGTAGAAAAAAACTTCAAAATCTGGAATGAGGCAAAGAGTTCTTAGATTTAAAACCAAAGACACCATCTATAGAAGAAAAAATTGATAAACTAGACTTCATCAAAATTAAAAACATTTATTCTGTAAAAATCTGTTAAGAGAATGAAAAGACAAGCTACAGCCTAGAAGAAAATGCTAGCAAGGCACATAACTGACAAAGGATGAGTATCTAGAATATAAAAAGACTCACAACACAGCAGTAAAAAAAAAAAAATCTAATTAGAACATTGGAAAAAGACATGAAGAGACATTTCAATGAAGAAGATACATGGATGGAAAATAAGCACATGTGCAAAATCACGGTCAAATTTAAACCACAGTGAAAAATCCTAAACACCAATCAGAACGGCTAAAATGAAAAATAGTGACAACACTGAAAATAAGCAAGGATGCAGAGAAACTGGATCATCCGTATGTCGCTGGTGAAAATGGTAAAATGGTACAGATTCTCTGAAAAATGGTTTGGCAAGTTCTTAAAAAAAAAACACAAAAAACAAATACAGCTAACCTGATGCTGCAATTACACTACTGGGTGTTTATCCTGGAGAAATAAAAATATATGCCACGCAAAAAAAAAAAAAAGAATGCCATGAATAGGGATAGCAGATTTATTTGTAATAGTAAAAAATAGAAAACAATCCAGATGCCTCTAAATGGAGGAATCATTAAATGAACTGTGATGCATTCATGCTATGGAATACCACTCGGAAACCAAATGGAGTGAACTATTATATACAACACCGGATGAATATTCAGAGTGAAAGAGAACAATCCCAAAAGCTTACATACTGTATGATTCCACATACATTTTTTAAATGACAAAATTGTAGAAATGGAGTAGATTAGTGGTTGCCGGGGGTTGAGGAGGGTGTGAGGTGGGTAGAAGTGGGTGTGGCTATAAAAGGGCAACAGGAGGCATCCTTGTGGTGACGGAATTATTTTGTATTGTAACTGTACCAATGTCAGTGTTTTGATTGTGATATGGTACTCGGGTTTTGCAAGATGTTACCATTGGGAAAAATGAGTAAAAGGTATATGAAATCTCTTCATATTATGTCTTACAACTGCATATGCAAGTACAGTTATTTCACTATAAAAAAGTTAATCTTAAAAACACAAAACTGACTCTAGAAATTCTAATTCCCTTATATATATCTACAAATTGAATTTTAATTAAAAACTTTTCTCACAAATAAAATTCTTGCTCACATGGTTTCACTGATAAATCCTATTCAAAATTAATGAAGAAACTATCAGAATAAAAGAATATCCTAAAGACTTAAACATAAGACCTAAAACCCTAAAAACCCTAGAAGAAAACCTAGGCAGTACTATTTGGGACATAGGCATGGGCAGACTTCATGTCTAAAACAGCAAAAGCAGTGGCAACAAAAGCCAAAACTGACAAATGGGATCTAATTAAACTAAAGAGCTTCTGCACAGCAAAATAAACTATCATCAGAGTGAACAGGCAACCTACAGAATGGGAGAAAATTTTTCCAGTCTACCCATCTGACAAAGAGCTAATATCCAGAATCTATAAAGAACTTAAATTTACAAGGAAAAAAAAAAACAACCCCATCAAAAAGTGGGCAAAGGAAATGAAGGGACACTTCTCAAAAGAAGACATTTATACAGCCACAAAACATGAAAATAGAGCTCATCATCACTGGTCATTAGAGAAATGCAAATCAAACCACAATGAGATACCATCTCACGTCAGTTAGAACGGCGATCATTAAAAAGTCAGGAAACAACAGATGCTGGATAGGATGTAGAGAAATAGAAACGCTTTTATACTGTTGGTGGGAGTGTAAGTTAGTTCAACCATTGTGGAATACCATGTGGCAATTCTTCAAGGATCTAGAACCAGAAATACCATTTGACCTAGCAATCCCATTACTGGGTATGTACCCAAAGGATTATAAATCATTCTACCACAAAGACACATGCACACGTATGTTTACTGCGGCACTATTCACAATAGCAAAGACTTAGAACCAACCCAAATGCCCATGAATGATAGGCTAAAGAAAATGTGGCACATATACACCATGGAATACTATGCAGCCATGAGAAAGAATGAATTCATGTCCTTTGTAGGGACATGAAGCTGGAAACCATCATTCTCAGCAAAGTAAAACAGGAACAGAAAATCAAACACTGCATGTTCTCACTCATAAATGGGAGCTGAACAATGAGAACACATGGACACGGGGAGGGGAACATCACACCCCCCTGTTGGGGGGTGGGCTGGGGGGCTAGGGGTTGGGATAGCATTAGGAGAAATACCTAACGTAGGTGACAGGTTGATGGGTGCAGCAAACCACCATGGCACATGTATACCAGTGTAACAAAATTGCACGTTCTGCACATGTACCCCAGAACTTAAAGTATAATAATAAAAAAGGATATACTAAAGAAATTCTTTTAGAATATGGAAGAATAGGACTCTATGCAGTTTGTTTTGTAAGATCAACATAATGTTGTTATATCACAATCTTAAAAAGGCATTACAAGAAAAGTAAATTCTAAGAAAACATCTCTAATGAATATGGGTACAAAACTCCCTAAAAAAACTAATACTACATAAATATAATACATCATGATTAAGTGAAGTTTATTTCAAGAATGCAAGATTGGGTTTGTTAATTGCAAAGACCATAATTTACCTTATTGACAGAATAAAGGAGAAAAAACCATAGAACCATTTCAATAAGTTCCAAAAGAAAAAAAATCCAACATTTTTCATAAAAACTCAACAAATTGCCAATAGAAAGGGAACTTCTTAATCTATAAAAGGGCAAAATAAAACTTACAATAACTTATTTGTTGATGAAATTTTGAACATATTTTACAAATATTTGTTCTACTGATTCTAGCAGTATAAAAAGGCAAAGAAAAAAGCATACATGTTGAGAAGGAGTAGTGAGACTTGGTTTTTGCAGGTGGCATGATAGTTTACATAGAAAATCTTCCTTCTGGAATGAATAAGTTTATGTATGTGTGTACATATATATATGTTATATATGTATATACAACACGTATACAAATATTGGTTGTATTTCTATATGTTATCAATAAATAATGGAGAAATAATTTCATTTACGATACCATCGAAAAGCAAAAAATATTTCAAAACACATTTGATGAAATTTGTCCACGTACTCTATTTTAAAAACTACAAACCATCAATGAGACAAATATTTAAAAAGACCTAAGCGAAGAAATACACGTGTTTATGCATCAGAATATCAATTATTACCAGTTTGGCTCAATGATTCAATGCAATCCCAATCAAAATCCTAGTAAGATCTTTATTGGGAACTGATAGGTTGAATCAAAATTGGTATCAAAATGTAGCAGACCCAGAAGAGCCAAAACAAACTTGTAAATAAGAACAATGGATTACATACACTACTTGTATTATATATTATACATTATATATTATGTAATATATAATATATGTAATTATATATTAAATATACATTATATATACAACCTATGTACACTATACAGATATATAATGTTAGAAGAAATGTGAGAATTGTAAAGGCAAAAAGATAATGTGTTATACACATTTTATATTATATATATGTATTTTTTTCTAGCTCATCAAGGTATCATTAATGCAAGATTTATTTCATTGATCTCCATAGCAAAAAGTATAATTTATGTGCATAAACTTGTATCTTTATTTGGGCTCTGAATATAACAATAAGTTTTTGCTATGTTACTTCAGTCTTAGCAATTATAATTTTAAGATAAAAATGTTCATAATTAGAAAAAACAGAAAAACTGGATGTACTGACATTATATGGGTCAGCAAAATTGGTAGGATCCAGACAAGATATTTAAACTTTTTTTTGTTTAAATATATTTTAAATAGGGTTGTAATGAACATAAAATGTTTGAATGCATGCAAGCCACTTAGAACAATGCATGGCTATATAATTGTTAGCTAATATTACTATTAACACAGCTTCATCCAGTAGGGATTCCTGGTGGGTTTGGACAAGCTCAGATTGGAAAAAATTATCTCATTAGATAATTCCAATATATTGATAGACCACCGAGGTAGGGAACATGATCCCTCCCCCAATGCCAGTCATAAGCAAATAGGGATTCCTGAGCATCAAAGGAGTTCAGAGCTTGGCCACCACTATGTTACTTCTCATCTCGAACCTCTGACTCTTACATTATCATATCCTTGAGACAGGCTTCTTCTTTGCAGCAGTTGAAGCCATCATAGAGATCTCCCACAGTAAAATATTTGAAATTCTTTATCAAGCACGTCTTTTCCCACCTTAATGACCTTGGAGACATCTATTACATACCTGGGTGATTTGAAGTATACTAGATCACCTAACCTCTTTGAGTCATCTATAAAATGGGAACCACAATCTTTGAACTGACTACTTGTATCTGTTGTTATTATGACCAAAGAAAATCATGTATGCAAAAGTCGTTACTTGTGCAAGACATTATCATAATTTTTGTCCATGTTACTGCTCTATTTTCATTTGTAGCTTGACAACATTTAAACATCCGCCCCAAATCAAAAATATGTTATTATGCAACATTCTAAAATGTTAAGTTGCAAGCTTTATGGGAATAAAATTCTTTGTAATCAGGATGTTGGTCGTGATTTCTTAGTTTTAGGATCATAAATTAAATCCTATGTTTAGTCAATCCTTAAATATTGTCTTCATAAGGCTCTGTATATATTCTATTTCTCATTCCCTCCAGATGCATTGGGTAAACAATTTCTTCACTGTTATTCCCACAGTTTTGATTTATAGGCTGATATTCAACTATCTAATAAACAGCATCTGTATCTTATGCAGAGTTTAGTTTTCAAATTTTTTATGGTATTCATATATTAAATGAATATTTTAAACATCTATTATCATCATGGTGCTGTGGTCCTGAAGGGTGCCCCAGGATATATAACTCCATTTTTAATGGATTAACAAACTGCAACTTCCATCAAGACACCAAATTGGAAGATTTATATAGTGGCTCAAGCTGAACCTTAGAACTCATTCTAGATTCCTCTGTGTCTTCCAACTGGGAGTGGCTACATACAATCAATCAGCAAGTCTGATAATTGTGTAAGCTAAGTATCTCTCAAATATGTACCTTCTTTAAGATCATTTGTTCCCCCATAACTTGGCCTCTGCATGTGTTATAAGTTTTATATCACATACCTATTACTTTTTTATTATAAAGTTCTGGGATACATGTTCAGAACGTGCAGTTTTGTTACATAGGTATACACATGCCATGGTGGTTTGCTGCATCCATCAACCCGTCACCTACATTAGGTATATCTCCTAATGCTATCCCTCCCCTAGCCCCCCACCCCCCAGCAGGCCCCGGTATGTGATGTTCCCCTCCTTGTGTCCATGTGTTCTCATTGTTCAACTCCCACTTATGAGTGAGAAAATGTGGTGTATGGTTTTCTGTTCTTTTGTTAGTTTGCTGAGAATGATGGTTTCCAGCTTCATCCATGTCCCTGCAAAGGACATGAACTCACCCTTTTTTATGGATGCATAGTATTCCATGGTGTATATGTGCCACATTTTCTTTATCCAGTCTATCACTAATGGGCATTTGGGTTGGTTCCTTTATGTTACGTTCAAGTCATGAGGAACATACACTTCAACAAACAGTATGATTTTCTATATACTCATGGTTTTGCTCATAGTACCAGCTCCACTATTCCTTTTCCAGGTATTATCTGATTCTCTCCACCTATCAAGTGATATGGCCTTTCTAAAATTGATTTCAGCACAATACACAAATATCAATCATAATACTTCATATTTGTACAGACTACCTGTTTGTGGTTGTGTCTCCATTATTAGACTTTATTGTGGGAATATGTGAATAGCAAGGACAGTATCAGTCAGCTTAGAATCCTTAGAAATGTAGTAGCAATTTATTAGAAACACAACTTTAATATGATTTCAATAAATATTCAACTGCCCTAGCAATACTAGTTGTATAATTAATAAGCAAATTAGTTCCCGCTAAATAGCCAGAAAGCAAAATTGTCCACAGCAATAATGGTCACCAAAAGATAGCCAAATCTCATCCAGTAGAGAAACTGCTGAATCAAGTGGTAGTTAGACTTTTAGCTCTTTATGGAATCTCCACACTGTTTTCCATAGTGGCTGTATTAGTTTCCATTCCAGCCAGCAGTGTAGAAGTGTTCCCTTTCACTGCATCCACACCAACATCATCTATGATTTTTTTATTTTTTATAATGGCCATTCTTATGTGAGTAAGGTGGTATTTCATTGTGTATTGCATGTTTATAGCAGCAAAATTTACAATTGCAAAAACGTGGAACCAGCCCAAATGCCCATCATTCAAAGAGTAGATAAAGAAACTGGTGTATATATGTATATACCACACACACATATATGATGTATACCATACATACATGCATATATACCATATATATGCACCACATATACACCATGTATTTGATGGAATACTACTCATTCATGAAAAGGAATGAATTAATGTCATTTGCAACAACCTGGATGGGATTGGAGACTATTATTCTAAGTGAGGTAACTCAGGAACAGAAAACTAAACACTGTATGTTCTCACTTATAAGTGGGAGCTAAGCTATGAGGATGTGAAGACATAAGAATGATACAATGGACTTTGGGGACTCAGGGGGAAAGGATGGGAAGCCAGTGAGGAATAAAAGACTACTAATTGGGTTCAGTGTATACTGCTCAGGTGACGGGTACACCAAAATCTCACAAATCACCACTAAAGAACTTACTCATGTAACCAAATACCACCTGTTCCCCAAAAACCTATAGAAATAATAAAAAAGAATATGTTTAATGAAGAATTAAAAAAAAAATAACTGATGCTAAAAGGACCTGCGAGCAAAGAAGGTGGTACACATGAATAATTTCAAACATCTGTAGAAAACACACACAAAAATAATGAGTAACATGGGGGTCAAAATCATGATAAACTAAAATACTTGACAACAACATGTAATGTGCTAAAGGGTAGGGCACTGATAAGAGTTCACCATTCCAGGATTCTTTTATTATTTGATGATAGAGACATAATTAGCATTATACTTTGTTAAAATATTAATGGCGGGTCATAAAGGATATAAGAAGGATGCCTATCTCTGGACCAGAAAAAGAAATGCAAAATTATAGAGAAAATGTTACTATTTTAAAGGAAGGTAGAACAGCAACAAAGTGAAGAATAGACATAGAGAGGGGATTTTTAAAGTTCCAATTAGATGTTAGGAAACTCCCAGATGTATCAGTGAAAAGTTAAGTTCAGCAGTTAGAAGGTATGGGTTTTTAGATTGGGAAAACTATACATAATGATTTAATTTGGCCCTAACTTTCTGAAAAGCACTGAGTCAATGTTTATCAATAATCTCAAGTTGATTTACCCTTTTTAGCTAAATAATAGCACTTCTAGACATTTATCCTGAAGTCACCAGAAATTCAATTAAAGAAATATACACAACCAAACATTACATGGACACTCAACACACACATATGTAGAAAATATGATATTCTAAAATCACTAAAATTATGTCTTAATATTCAATGTCATGAGAATGCTTATGTCATAGTGCCATGGAAAAAAAAATAAGTTTCTTAAACCCTTTGCCCAATAAGGTTAGCTTTCCTTTTCTGCATAAGAAGATGAAAATAAATTGTAAAAACGTTAACAGAAGTTATTTCTTGATGTCGGATCATTGGCAGTCAACTTTTTTCTCATAATAAACTTGTGATATTATAATCATGAAAATCTACCATATTTGTCAGAGAAACATTGTTATTGTATAAGGTAGAACTCAGAAAGTACACCTCGAACATACTTCATATGTTGTATAGTTCGGTTAAGGCCAGCACTGTCAAGGTTATTTAAATTTCTTGTACATTTCTTATACATGCACATTTCTTTACAATTTTACATGCATGTGCATATGTGTGTGTGCAAATGCATATGAATTTTATAAGAATCTTGAGGCAGTTAAAATTATCAGCATCCCCTGTTGACTCATTAGGAGACTGAATGTTAGAGAGATTTTCAGTATCTTGGTTTGTAGGACTTTACCTGGTGCTTTTTAGATTCTGTGTTCACTGTGACAGTATCTCAAAATATGTACAGAATACTGATATATGTCCTAAATATGTGGATTTATTTCTATAAGGATACTGAACAACAATCGTAATGGTCCAGTTTGGTGAGTATGTAGATATGCACGCGACCACCTCAGTCTCAGTTCACACATTCCCACTGCTTATAGGAGCACCAGGGGCAAACAGTGTCCAGATGTGAGTCCTCAATGAGCTATAACCACAGCCATAAATATCTCTCAAAGATGAGGAACATTCTCATGATGTTGACACTGCAATTTTTTGACAATTTCCCAACACTCTTAAGAAACATTCCCCAATCTCACACGAAAAGTGGGGGTTTTAATTTTCTTGTTCAACTTCTAAAGAGAAATTGGAGAAGATAAAACTGGACACTGGGGAGACCACAACTTCATGCTGCGTGGGATCTCCCAGCTACCTGCAGTGGCCACCATGTCTTGGGTCCTGCTGCCTGTACTTTGGCTCATTGTTCAAACTCAAGGTACGTACCATCACACCAGCATTTTACATAAAAGTCAAATTATTTGATGAATGTTTAAAGTGCCTTTTGAAAAAAAATGGCATATGTTTTTATGGTCGAAAGACCATTACCATTTGCATTTTGGTAGATTTTCTACCTCTCTGCAAAAGCGAACTATATATACATAAGTATGTGTATCTTTTTGAGTGAGGATATTTTAAACCACTATATGAAACATGGATTCTAAAATTTGTCCTATTTCCTCCAATTGTTATATATTTTAACAAATTTTATGTTTGCACAATATTTTCCAAAATAGAGGAAAAAAAAGCTACATATTGTTCCATTCATTATGTCTTTTCTCTACTAAATAAAATTTTATTAACATCTTCATGAATCATGGCTGTTTAAAAAATCTGCACTTTGGGATATTTCCTTGAGAAAAATTCTTAAAAGCAGAATGACAGGGTCAAAATGACTAGTTCTGGAAAAGGAACCCTTTTTGTCTTTGAGATTGATTATTGATATTATTGATAGATGAACCATTTTGATGACACACTATACACACCCTACAAATAATTTTCAAGTCACTGGTTATTTTACTAGTGATCACATAATAAGCATGTTAAAAGCCAAGCTGTAAACCTACGTATTTCCATGTATAAACACATTTGTGCTAAACCCTATATTGAAACAGGTAAAGTACATAGCTGAGGAGTTATCCAAGCTCCCCACAAAATTCCCACTTGCCTAAAAGTTGCCGTGCAAAAGCTGCACACATACGGCTGGCTCTAGCCTTCATATTCTTTTACATTTCCTCATTGTGCATCACCAATACTATACCCAAAAGAAGGATAAAATGGAGTAATTATTATACCAATAATTATGCGATATATACACACAGCTTACTGAAGTCTTCAAATTCAATTATTTGATCCATATAAACATATAAAGACAGGCTTATAGTCAACACTTTGTAATTTGCATAATGATTTAGTAAGGATGTCTCTGGAACTGTATTTCTTATTTAATAACTCTACTAGATCTATTTTCTTTTCTAAAACACACCATCCCAATGACAACACAGAACTAACTTCCTGGCCAAAAATCAAATCCATGTATTTAAGACAACTTCCGAATCATAGCTCTGCTAGGATGAAAGACAGAGAAGAGTTTAAAATAGAATGAGGGCTAAATCATATATAACTGCATTATTAAACAAAAATCAGATGTAATACATTATAATTGCATTATTAAACAAAAGAAAACATTAATTGACCAACTGAACAACTGTGCCTGTGCTGTCGGATGAGAATTAATTGTACCTAAAGAGAAGTCAAACAACATGTAATGAAATAGAACTTGATTGAAATAAAAAAAAAAATCTACATATCTTTTTTCCCCCCATTCCTCAGAGGTCTCAAAATACTCATAGATACATTTCTAGAAAAGTGAAACTTGTTTCTATTAATATTGTTCTCACAATATTCTGCTGAAAAAGTCACTGAAATACTTCTGAATTTGATGATAGTCTATGATGCCCATAGTGCCCAAGTAGCCCTACATTTTTAAACATTCCTCCCTATTACTTTAGATAACCCAATAGTTAACAATGAAAGCTATTATTTTGGAAGATATTCATTAGGTTGCAGTTAACTATATAATTTTATACCTGGTAATGTTCTTATGTTTACCCATACACAATCTTATCTGGTAAATTATTCTTCTTTCAATCTCACAACTTTCTGGAACTTCCATAAAATCTTACCATCATTTTTAACAGTGCATGAAACAATCATTTTCAAACAAACTTGTACTCACTGAACTGCTAAGCAAAATGAACTTCAGCATTACATTTGTATTGCTTTATGTGTATAAAACCACGCCAGAAGTTTCTGGGGGAAATGGGAGGGATTGCAAGAAGGTTTTACTTGGCGTTCTGCCATATTCACCAATCTACTGCTCCTTGTCCCTATATGATCAGCCTTACCTTCTGCTCCTCTATCTGACCTATCTGTGCTGGCTTAACACCTCCATTTGTCTTCTAGATCTTATCCCTTCTCATACAAGGACATTGACCTAACATTTTCCCTCCTTCCTACTGTATCTATTCCATATTCTCTATGGAATCATTCCCATCAGCATATAAAAATTATCCCAACTTAAAATGAATATCCTTTTTCTTTCTCTTCTGCCAATTAACATCCTAAATTTTCTCTCTCCTGCCGGGTCTGTCCCGCAGACCCTGGCTGACCGATGAAGTGAGTACTCAGACACAGGTATGCAGTGTAAGAGCAGCTAGCTAGAGCTGCCTGGCCCTAGTGGCCAGAGAGCAGCTGTTATGTTTTGCCAGGCCAATTGATTCTGGTTGGCTTGTTGTTCCCACAACTCATCATATTCTGTTCACCAGAGGGGGTATTTACTGGTCTCTAAAGTTGTTTTAGCTAGCACTGACCAGTCCCATGGGGTCATATGGAAGTTGTCTGCTATGGCCTCAGTTAATCCTTTCATAAATGGGCTAGTGGCTCTGTTTTCTCTAATGCTTTTTCTTATTTCTTTAGAAGTGTTGAAAGCAATGAGTTCACGTACCTGATTGTCTTGTTGATCTTGCATCACTGGGCAGGTCAAGAGCTCCCTTCTAATTCCACTTGACTAAGACAGGGTCCCATAACAGTAGTGTATCCCTTGTATTTTTTCCAATATATTGGGAGAGAGGGCTCAGGGAAAATATTTGTCTCCTCTGTGGCACCTTTACTCGGTAACGGCGGGGCTGAGGGAGAAGGAGGAGGTGGTAAGGTAGATGATGGTTCTTCCTCCCTTCCCTTTTTAGGCTCTTCTGTGTAGAGTGGGGACAAAGCAGCCCTGACTAAGGCCCATAACGTTAAAGATGTTACTGGGACCCGTTGCCCTTGTGCATGATGTTAAGATTTCTCCCCACTTGTTCCCAGAGCTCTAGGTTTGGCAAGCCTTCTTCTGGGAACCATGGGTTATAGAAAACAACAGTTTGCATAAGGTCCCTTAATTGCACCTCTGAGACACAGGCTCTGCTAGCTTTAAGCAGCTGTTTCAATACTTTTATATACTGTTGCTGTTGAGCTGTTAACTGTTGTCCCATGACAAAACCCTAGCTTGAAAATCCCCTCAAACTTGGAAATCCCCAGCAGGCACCAATTACTTACTGCGCAGTCACTTCACTTTCATTCTCGAGGGTTTTGTCACAATCTGTTGCAGCATTCCTCACACAGGGCACCACCTGCTGGCTCTGTCCTGCAGACGCTGGCAGATGGATGAAATGACCATTCAGACACAGGTATGCACTGTAAGAGCAGCTAGGTGACTGCCTGGCTCTGGTGTCCAAAGAGCAGCCCGGAGAAGCTGGAGCTGCTTGCTTTTATTCAGTGCAAGCACAATGCCAAAAACCTGGAGCAAAAACAAACTGTAGGTAATTAACATTTATTGTTCCCCTTTCAGGGAACGTCAGGTGTGCGGATGATCAAAGGTCAGTTCCAGGTCAACATAAGTAGATGAGCCTGTTTAAGATAAATTCCCCTACACTCCCTGGTACCTACTTCTTGCCCTCTGCCTCAGGGTTATAGAATAGCTGCCTTCAGTTATTCTTCCCCGAGGCTCTGCAGAACCTTGAGAACTTTCAGTAGGTTTGCGTCCTTTCCCTATAGTTTTTCCCACCACTCTGACCAATCCCCAGCATTCCCTTTTGCATAAAAAAATCTTCAAACGTACTGTCTATACACTTTCTCTCTAGTTAGTCTCATCCCATTCTCTTCTATCCTACTTCTACAGAGTTTTCATCTCCAACACTCCACCAAGACTGCTCTTACGGCTTCAAGGATGTTAAATCCAGTGGTCATTTTGGGGGCATCATATTCTCATGTTTTTCCTCTCTTTCTTTCTCTGCCTTCCTCTCTCTTTCCTTTTCCATGGCATGAAACACACCATTTCATTTGGTGAACTCCTACCTCACACTGGCCTCCTTTACTGGTTCCTCCTCTTCTCAATTTCCTAATGTTGGAATAGCCCAGGGCTCAGTGCTTGATACTCTTTTCTTTTGTAGCAGCATTCAGTTATTTGGTGATTTATCTAATCTTTAGCTTTAAGTACCATCCACAAGAGGACAACTCCCATCTTTTTGCTTCCACACTAAAATGTACACTTTATTTCCAACAAATCCACTTAGATGCTGTTTCATGGTGGGCAGGTCTACGCAAATCTGCCCCAAAGCCCAAGGAAGCTGAGATGCCAAAGAAAGAGGCTAAAAGATCCAGTTTCTTAGAAAGCAAGTTTTAATAAGGACTTACAAAGAGAAGCCATGTCTATGTCCTGAGTGGTGACAAGACAAGACAGATGGTGGATCCCTATTCCATTACTCTCCAGATCCAGGGCCTTTATACTGTAGGTGAGGGGTGGTTCAGAAGGGATGTACGGGACAATTGAGGTATGATAGCATTACAGTTGTTTGACCCAAGGGCAAGATTTATGAGAAGTACCTGCTCTTACACAAGGAAAAATGGATACACTGGAAATCTTAGAGGGATCCCAGAACAGGGATTAATCAGAAGCCAACTTGCCAGATTAGCATCCAAGATGGAGTTGCTTTGGCCTCTACAGATGCCTAGTAGACATCTCAAAACAATATACCCAGAACCTTTCCCACATATCTGTTCTTCCTTCACCTTTCCTCAAGTCTGTCAATGGCAATTCTGTTTGCTCAAGGCAAAAATATCTAGTCATCCTTGATTCCTCTCTTTCTCTCATGTTCTATATCCAATCCTTCACCAATTCTATTGATTTCACCTTCAAAATATATCCAATATTTGACCACACCTCACTGCTTCCACTGATACCACTTTCATCTAAGTCACCACCACCTCTGTCTTACATTACTGCAATATCCTCCTAAATGAGCTCTCTGATTCTACACTTGCCTCTCTGCAGGATACTCTTGACAGATCAGACAGGGCAATCTTATTAAACAAAAGTCAGATTATGTTACTTCTCTACTCCGAACTCTCCAGTGGCCCCCATTTCACACAGAGTAAAAGCCAAATTTTCTATCAGGTCTTGCACAATCTATTCATTTCCATAACCAACCTACTTGCATATTCTATTATTCACTCTTCTCATTCCATTCCAGCTAGATCCCTGTGGTTTCTTAAATGCACTCTCTATCCAGGATCTCACATTAAAACCTTATTACTAGCTGTTTCCTCTATCCGGAACTCTTTGTTCCTAAAGAACAATATGGTTCAGTCCCGCATCTTCCTGAAGTCTTGGCTTAAAAGTGATCATCTTGATGTGACTATCATTACTTCCCTATTGAAAATTGCAACACTCACCTCTAATCCAGCATTCACAATCTCCTTTACTCTGATATATTTCATCACCATAGTACTTATCATCTTCCAACCTGTAAATAATTTTTCATAATGTATGCTTCATATGTATAAACATACATAATATAATATCATTTCCCAATAGAATGTAAATTTTATAAGAGCATGGATCAATGTCTATTCTATTATTTTATTTAACCTGACAGCCTCAAACTGTGCGTGGCCTAAAGTCAGCATTCAATAAATATTTGTGAAATGAATATTTCAGTTTTCACATAAAAGAAATATCAGAGAAGGTAAGTTGCTTACTGTCTAGAAAAGAATGTAATACGTTTACATTATTTTTTCTTCTATGTGAAAAATCAAATGTAGTGATTTGAGACATCATAGTTAAAATAAGAGTATAATATTGACCCAATGTCTCCATTTTTAAAATACATTTTTGAGTATTAAGAGGTTGAAATTTCACTCAACCTTGTTTGACTATCATTTTGATAGTCATTAAAAAGACACTGTTGGGATGGGCACAATGGCTCATGCCTGTAATCCCAGCACTTTAGGAGGCTGACGCAGTGGATCACAAGTTCAGGAGTTCGAGACCAGCCTGACCAACATGGTGAAATCCTGTCTCTACTAAAAATACAAAAATTAGCCAGGTGTGGTGGTACGCAACTGTAATCCCAGCTACTCAGGAGGTTGAGGCAGGAGAATCGTTTGAACCTGGGAGGCAGAGGTTGCAGTGAGTCAAGATCGGGCCACTGTACTCCAGCCTGGGTGACAGAGCGAGACTCTGTCTCAAAACAAAACAAAACAAAACAAAACAAAACAACAATAACAAAAACAACACTGTTGGATTTGGTTTTATTTTTTTTTTATTTGTTTTTTACTTTATATATCTTGCGAAGGTTTTTGGCTAAATCACATTGTAATCTACTCTTATAAAGTTTCCCCAAAGCCAAATAAGGTAGACAGAACAAGAAGTGAGGTAGGAAAACAGATATTTTGAGGGCTCTTCCAAAATTGCATGATTAGTGCTAACGTTGGGACTAGACATTATTAAAATTCATTCTCATTCCAAGCGCATGGCTTTTTCCACTAATGGACTCATATTCTCTTTTAATAAAAGATCATTTACTCATACATTTCTAGATTTCCTGTTTTAGTATGTGATGAATCCTTCTCAGGACAGCATTACAGCAGAACTTTGGGAGCTGACTAGGAGGGAATTCTTGCTTTGTAATTTCCTTTCATTTTCCGTATCAGCCAGGTATAAAATCTCCTGTTTTCCCTAAGATCACTCTGTCATACTGAGTGGAAAACTGTCTCTAAGCACAGATACTTATGTATGAAAATGTGAGCATTCAGAAATAAGACTGACCTTGTATGAATGATTGAATAATTAAAAGAAAAAATAGAAAAAGTATGCTGCCATCTTCCTAATAGGGTACTAAATAATTTTATATATTTTATCTTATTCAAGTTTTACACTAACCTATACCTTAGATAATAATCTGGTACAAAGCTGAAGTTACTTCTACGAGGTTATTTAGCTAGGGCATAAGACCACATCTTTTGGCTCCAAGATAATTTCTTTTCTACTATTTGTAAACAATGAAAATCTGTCTATGCAATGTAATTTCAAGTACATCAAGAACATTGTGTCCATAAACAATCTTCCTACTTCCTCTCTGAGGCTTTAAAACTTTCAAAGAGAGGCCAACAAAAACTTTATTTCTTTGAAATCTAAAGTCTTGGGGGAAAATGCTGAGAAAAAGCATCATGGCTTATTGACACACTGAGGAATAAAATTACTGCTAGTAGAGTCTTTCCTAAAAGTAAATGATTATACACAAATGAAAAACTTTATCTTTAGAGTATATAATCAGGGGTTGTGCTTCAGAGGGAAAAGGGTATAAAAAAGAAAAAGTCTTGGAGGGCATAGAGAGAAAAATTCACAATTTTTAAGAAGACTCTAAAGCAATAAGGAAATGGATTACTACAGGTAGAATTCTAGGCTCACACAACCCCTGTTCTTAATCCATAACCTGTCCTTTCTGGGCATGGTGGTCCAGAGTTTGCATACACTGAGAGATCATCTAAAGAATTGTTTTATAATCTTCATGTCTTTTCAGAATAGTGGGAGGGAGAGCAAAAAAAAAAAATCCTTGTCATCAAAGCTGAAGAACGACAATTAACTTGTTATTCATAATGTTTGCTCTCTACATAGGAATGTAGTCTTCACTGCTCTTTCAGCAACCCAAGAAATGAAAACAAAACACAACACGACTAAAACCAAAACCTTTAAATCTTTTATGTGAATATTATTTCTCTTTCTCTAGCAATAGCCATAAAGCAAACACCTGAATTAACGCTCCATGAAATAGTTTGTCCTAAAAAACTTCACATTTTACACAAAAGAGAGATCAAGAACAACCAGACAGAAAAGCATGGCAAAGAGGTAAGCAAGGTGAATGACCGTGGTAGATGTTACAATCATCCAAAGAGACAATAAAAAGCCTTTTCACTAACAGAAGTGATGTTACAGTTACTATGTAATAGTTTCATATTGAAGCCCATGTATACAACTCCCCTTTGTTCAGGAGACAGCTCACAATTTCTCAGAATGCTGCTATGGTTAAGCAGCAGAGAGTCAACAGCCTCACTTGATAAGAAAGGATAAAGCTGCTTAGACATTTCTCTTAAGTTTGAGAGTGAGGAGAGAAGCCCGGGAAGGTCGGCCATCTTTAACGGAGATGTTGTTCCTGGCAAGCCTCACCACCCCTTTTCTCCAGTGAATTGTCTTTTTCCTCAGCCATTTTGTCAATAGTGAAAAATTAAATTTTATATCAGTAGTTAACATAATATTTTATTACTGATTAAAGATACCAATTCTTTGACTATTACATTGTTGCAAGTATTTCCCTCATTTTGTAATTGTTACCTAATTCTTAGTGGGTTGAGAGGTTTTTTTTTTTTTTTTTTTTTTTTTTAGTATTTAATTTAATGTATTTAGTTTGGTTTTAAAGTAAGAAAAATACACACCTTGTTTTGATTCCCTGGCTGATCCTGAGACAGTATACTGTACATTAGGGCAAATGAGAAGTCCCTATCTCACATATTAAAGCTAGTTTAATCTATAAGTGTTATTATCACATAATTGTACTTTTTGGAAGTCCATGTTAGTGCATAATTTGTTTTGTCTTACATATTTTAAAAACACAAAAGAATTGCTTTTATCCTATATGCATTTGTAATTGTTCTTCTAATACATACTACATATATAATTATTTTAGTTATGCTCAGAAATATAAATTGCTTGATGTAATTAAATGTTTTCAGGAAAGGTATGAACCTGAAGTTCAATATCAGATGATCTTAAATGGAGAAGAAATCATTCTCTCCCTACAAAAAACCAAGTAAGTTGTACCTCCTAAAAGTCTAATCACTGGATTAGGTTATGAAATTGGGGAGCAATCTTTTTGAGGCTCCATTTAGTGTGGTTTGACATAGAAGACATGAGGCATTTTGAGCTTTAGATGATACTAGTTTGTGCTAAAAAGGCTGATTTCCTAGGAAATTATATACAAAATGTAAAACAAAAGGAATGGCATATATAAATGACTTTCTTCCTTGACCTGGGAACTTAGTGAACTTCTTTTTCTACTCAGATAAACTCAAGACTTTGATGCAGCTTTCCATTCTTTTATGAGAATATGTGTCCAAGGCTGATTCAAAATGCATGGCCTAGAGATAGATTCCAGGGGATGGGGTTCCTCCTAGTTCTATAGCAGTTAATAAACTTCTCCCTGAATGCAATGGGCCTATAAGCATATTTGTGACCCAGCACCCTTCAAAGGTTCTGTGGAGGTTGTGTCCTTGGTGCAAGAAATCTCAAAATTACTAATTTGAAGATAGGGATCTGCAGATGGGAAGAAGATGAGGGGACTTCCTCCCTCGGATTTAATAGGAAGAACCAACTCTCTGATTTGCTTCAGCAACAGAGCTCCAATGTTGGAAGAGGATTAGTAGGTCAGAACCTTAGCTATTTATCATTGTAGACACTATCACTATTTTAGTGCTGAAGTTCAGGAAGTTCTGCCTTTCTTACCATCCTGAGTGGTCCATGCAGCTCTCTGCTCTCTACAGGCACCTCCTGGGGCCAGACTACACTGAAACATTGTACTCACCCAGAGGAGAGGAAATTACCACGAAACCTGAGAACATGGTAGGGTCCGAATACTTTGTGGGTCTCTTTTGAGTTTTAGATGTTATTAGTTTGTGCTAATGTTAACTAAGATCTCCAAAGGGCTCAATTATTTTATAAAATTCATAGGTCCATGAACAGCTTCAAAAAATAATCAAAGGACTTGAAAGCAAGTTGCTTATCTATGATCAATGAGACAACAGTTTGGAAAATCACATTCAGCTTTTAAAACATAGGAGCAGCAGAAAGCTTCCAAGTGTCACATTTTTGGAAGCAACCAAAAGTCCACTTCTCCCTAGACCATTTTATCCATAGGTTAGAAAAGTTCTTCTCTATACGTACTTAAAACCTCTTGTCACTATTTACTATTTTTTGGAGATACATGCATTTATCCTGAGGTCAGCAATGAAATATCAATAATTAATATTTTTATATCTGATTAAATCATCATCCCGTAGACAATACCAGGGCCAAATGTCAGACATTAAGAATCATGGCATAGAATATCATGAAGAGAATACAATAAATCTCAATCAAGAGATGTTCATGTTCCCAGGCTAAGACAGCTTCTCAGAGCCATCCTACAAGGTACCCTAAACCTGCATTTCTCTATATAAAAAAAAAGACTTCTGCCACAGAATGGTTCTTTGTTCCCCATGCTCATTAAAACTTATTTCATGAACATCTGAATTTTTGCTAACACTATCTTCAGCGGACAGTGTCTGATAAATTAATTTATGCTCAATTGTTAATAGCTGATGATACATTAATGAGGAATCTTCTCAAGTCTTCTATGAGAAAATGTTTATGTTGACGATATCTCTTCCAAAAAGGGAGAAAAGACCATAGATGGAATTTCATAACCTGAGGCAGGTCAATTTATTTTGCACTGGAGTTTTTTCACTACCTTTTTTAGATCACTCCACGTAAGTGGCCCCTTAACTTTGCTGATGTGGGCCAACAATCATGTCTGAATCTCTAATTGTAGACAAATAATTTTGTGTCTTTGAGGCTGATAAAGGGATTCCACTAACAGACCAATTAAAACAGTGATTAAATCAGTTAGTCTGAGGAGCTCAGGAGTGATAGTGTGAAATATCTGGGATTCCCCAGTCTAGAAAAATAGATGTCTCATTTTACTTATTTGTAATGCACAGTGCCTTTGGCACTCAGCACAGTGAAGCCAAATTCTTGAGCACTGACCCCCAAACCTGAGGACCCACTGGGAGTACTGTACATCCCAAGAGGACTGGCTACTTCTCAGAGAAAGCATCCACTTTCACTATGAGCCCACCTAGGTTTAACTTCCCTGGACTCCTCCTTAGTGTAAATTAATGTCAGAAAAACAGTTCAGCCACCAAATATAGAGAGTTTCCAGTGAAGCAATTCTGAAAACCTCTGAGGTTCTTGCTGTTTGTGTTTCTGAGGATTGGTCTGGCCACAGTCACTACTTGAAGAATTTTTACATATTCAAGATGGTAGCTTTCCTCACAACTGTGATACATGTATTCTCATAGTTTATACATTACACACACACTCACATACACACACACACACACATTTCTGAAGCATAATTTCTTTTTTCCACTCCAGGAACACTGTTACTATAAAGGAAACATCCTAAATGAAAAGAATTCTGTTGCCAGCATCAGTACTTGTGACGGGTTGAGGTAAGAACTACCATCAAAATTACTCAAGATCAAGAAGCTTTTTGTTACACAGAATTAAGGGCTACTAGATATTGTCTTCTTACTATTTTGGTAAATTTTTCATTGCTGAAATGCTGAATATATGTGGTTAAAGTGAAGAACAAAGTATTACCCTGACAATCATTTCATAATCTGCTGCTCTAGGAGAAGTCAGGCCTAGCAATGTAAAACAAGAATGCTACACTCTGGACCTTGATGATATCTGGATCCACTTCTGTGTTTATCCAACCTACTCTCTGAAACAGTTACTTCCTGTTTTCTAAAACATTCTTCCCTGCAATGGTCACAGTTGAACTTAATTTTAGAATTATATGTGTTTCTGTTTACGTAGATAATTATTGCCAATGAGAGAAAGTTTGGAAAGTAAGAAAAAGCACAAATAAGAAAATAACAGGCCGGGTGCGGTGGCTCACGCCTGTAATCCCAGCACTTTGGGAGGGCGAGGCGGGCAGATCAGGAGGTCAGAAGATTGAGACCATCCTGGCTAACACGGTGAAACCCCATCTCTACTAAAAATACAAAAAAAAATAGCCGAGTGTGGTGGCTGGCGCCTGTAGTCCCAGCTACTCCGGAGGCTGAGGCAGGAGAATGGCATGAACCCAGGAGGCGGAGCTTGCAATGAGCCAAGATAGCTCCACTGCACTCTAGCTTGGGCGACAGAGCGAGACTCCGTCTCAAAACAAAAAAAAAGAAAAAGAAGGTAACAACTACCACAAAAGTTGACCTCTGAGTAATCACTGTTATTAACATTTTGTCATGTTTGCACCCTTATGTGCACATATAGACAAATGTATCTTTCACAGCATTGAAATAAAAAAAAAACCACATTGTTCTTCCAACATGGCTGATAACACACACGACAAGTTCTTCACATATCATAAAATACCTTCAGGGATATAATTTTGAACAGTTAAGTTGGATTGTAATATTTTATTATATGGATTCACCTTCTATTTATGAACTAATTATCATACTATTGTGATTATAGAAAGAGGGATTCTTTAAGCTACTTCTAATCCCAACGTGTTACTCTGGTTGGCCTGCTGATCATTCATGTTCCCCTCTGGGGTTCTTGCTATCTAAACATTCCCTTACTCCATTTTCCATTATAGTCCTAGGATCTGCCATGAAATATTTGTTAAATGAATCAATAAACTATGGAAAAATATTTACCACGGTGCAAATTCCAAATTCTTTGGGGTTGCTTCATCTTTATAATTCTTGTTCAGAATTCTCTTGGTAAATAAGTTAGGCTTCATTTTATATCGACAAATAGTGATTCTAACTTACATTACCAGAAGTTAGCTGAAAGGTCTATGAATGACAAGGCTATGTGTGAAATTGGGATGGAGGGGCAGACATCAATCCATTCTTGGAAGCAAATATGACACTGTGTGTCAGGAATCCTGAAATATAAGTCTCTATATCTCCCAGAGGATACTTCACACATCATCACCAAAGATACCAGATAAAACCTCTGAAAAGCACAGACGAGAAAGAACATGCCGTCTTTACATCTAACCAGGAGGAACAAGACCCAGCTAACCACACATGTGGTGTGAAGAGCACTGACGGGAAACAAGGCCCAATTCGAATCTCTAGATCACTCAAAAGCCCAGAGGTGAATACAATTCCCTTACCTCATCATTTACTTCAATTGTCTCAGCAAAGATAGGCAATATACTACTATTCTTAGAAATGAGTAGTATGTGTATGTGTCAAGCCTATAATTTATTTACTTATTTTTCTATTTATCTTCTATTTTAGGAAAACAAGTCTCCTTTTAAGCTTTGGAATCTTTTAGGATAAAGATAATGATTAACAATGTTCTTTTATTCTTTGTAAAGAAAGAAGACTTTCTTCGGGCACAGAAATACATTGATCTCTATTTGGTGCTGGATAATGCCTTTGTGAGTATGAAACACACGGCCCTCTCGGCCAGTTCAGTCACCCTTTAAGTTTACTTATCAAGCAAAAGCAAGCAATAAACTATTTTAGCTAATCATGGGGCATTTGTCCACCTGGGTGTCTTGGCTGTTTACATGCCTTGCCAGCAATAGTTATCTCCTCATACCCTTTAATATCCATCTGCCACCAAAATATTTAGTATTGGCAATATACTTAATACCAGATAGCTACAGGCAATCAACCAAAAAAGAAAAATAAAAGGAACGCATTATTAAAATATTGCAATACTTTATATCTTAATATAAAATTAAATATATTTAATATAAATATTATATCAATATAAAATCAACACAAAACTCTATATAACTTAGAAACTATATTGATAGATACAGAGGAAAATACTAGAATCTACATTTCTATCTAGTAAATATTGTTTTGTAATCAAATTTTAATCACATGATTCGGTTTAAAAACCTAAAAATTGTTAATTTGATGTATTCAACTTTAAAATGAAGAACACTAAAATTTTACATGAATGTCTAACTTTTATCAAAAAACTCCTAACATTTGAAATAGAATTTGCCACAATGCAGTCTTACATTATTTAATTATGGAATGAATAGATGTTAATTGTAGTGAAATTCATAATTTTTCTTAAAATGTGAAATCTTGTATGCCATCAGCTTTCTCAGTGTAATCTGCTATTTCACTATACTTTGTGTTTTGTATTTTACAGTATAAGAACTATAATGAGAATCTAACTCTGATAAGAAGCTTTGTGTTTGATGTGATGAACCTACTCAATGTGGTAAGACATTAGTCATGTAAACCTCATGTTTCTGCATAGGGAAGTTCTGCCTGGAACTTCCCTAAGATTTCACCAACAAGAAGTTAAAAAGATCCCAAATGTCTTAAGTTAAATAGTTCAGGGAAATTTTAGCAGAACAAGCATCAACATCAAGGTGAAATCACATGCATGGCAACAAAGACAACTTTTAAAATTTTTACTTTCAAAATGGAAATTCATTACTTGTAGTCCATCACTTTATCTATTACTTGTGGTCAACAAAAGCTCTCAGACACGAAAGGAATCCTGAACATTTTTATGAAGATAAATGCTCTTTCCACAGATATATAACACCATAGATGTTCAAGTGGCCTTGGTAGGTATGGAAATCTGGTCTGATGGGGATAAGATAAAGGTGGTGCCCAGCGCAAGCACCACGTTTGACAACTTCCTGAGATGGCACAGTTCTAACCTGGGGAAAAAGATCCACGACCATGCTCAGCTTCTCAGGTGAGCACATGCTGGCCAGGTGAATGTAGGCAGAATGGATAGCTATCCCCAGGGTTCCTTAGCAGGGATTTCCACTCTGTAATATTTCCCTGATCAACTGTCAGAGTGCTTGACATTTTACCACTAGCAATTCACCTGTGACATTATTGGATCAATAATCAGATGATAGAATGAGCTCTTGGATATAAGATAACCATCTGTGGTCATAACACTAAGGAATAGTAGAAGTTTTTTGGGGCCTAGTGAATATAAAAAGGCTAGGGCAGCGAGGCAATTCGTTAATGTAATTAACAAAAGCTAATGGTTACAAAGACTCAGATTGTGACAGTAGTATCTGTAACTTTTCATACAGCGGGATTAGCTTCAACAATCGACGTGTGGGACTGGCAGCTTCAAATTCCTTGTGTTCCCCATCTTCGGTTGCTGTTATTGAGGTTTGTAAATTTGTAGTAAGGCTCTCTGTGGTTCTGTATCCTCTATGAAGGCCAGCATAACACCTTATATAGAATGAGCAAAATGAACATTTGCTGAATCAATGAATCAAGGAAGAAATGAAACTACTGGTAGGTCATTGCACTGAAGATCCCTTGGGTTATGCGACAGAACATTTCCTTACATCAGCCTTGCTAGAACGTGCCATATCATTCTTTAGTTCATGTTAGAAAATCAGAGTAGGAATATTGGAGCAGAAAGGGCATCCAGTACCCTCTGTGGCCTGGGCTAATACTAGTCATCCCCAGTATCTATGGCCAGAGAGGCCAGACAAGGAAGAAGGGTGCATGCAGGTGTCATATGGCCAAGAACTCCAGTGTCATAGGTATCATAGCAATAGGTTTTGGAGACCTCCGATATGGTGCCTATGAGTACTTCCTATGAAGAATGTAATTAATTCAACCATGATTTACTGGTAACTTAGTATCCATTAGTTCAACAAATATTTATTGAATAAAATGTAAGTATTCATAGGACCCAACCACTTTAAATGCTCTTTCAACGTTTTGCAATACACAGTGACAGGGAAAGGAGCTAACAATTCACTAGTTTTCATCTCTTAAGCCATTTTTAAAGTACTGCACATTGGCAACAATTAAATAAAAAAAGAATAAATAAATATATCTACTTTTTCCAGGCTAAAAAAAAGAATAATGTGGCTCTTGTAGGAGTGATGTCACATGAGCTGGGCCATGTCCTTGGTATGCCTGATGTTCCATTCAACACCAAGTGTCCCTCTGGCAGTTGTGTGATGAATCAGTATCTGAGGTGAGACCTTGTCATCCTAAAAGGAGAGAGATATTTTCCAAATCTTTTTTTTTTCTGAAGACACATATTATTCTCTATTGTTTAATTAAATATTAGATCTTGTGTTGTTCCAAAACAGATTTTAAAATTGTTTATAAAATACATACTAATCAACAGGATAGATTGAAAGTGTTACCCAAAAAACAATCTTAAAACGTGTAGGGTAACATATTACATTCTTAACCTAGTCTTGGATTACAGTAATCTGCTGATATATGTTTCATAAAGACATCAAAAGTGCTATTTTACAAGTAAATTATGTTTAGGGACACTTGCAATGAATGTTTCTTTTCATATATATATATATATATATTATACTTTAAGTTCTAGGGTACATGTGCACAACCTGCAGGTTTGTTACATATGTATACATGTGCCATGTTGGTGTGCTGCACCCATTAACTAGTCATTTAGCATTAGGTATATCTCCTAATGCTATCCCTCCCCCTCCCCCCACCCACAACAGGCCCCAGTGTGTGATGTTCCCCTTCCTGTGTCCAAGTGTTCTCATTGTTCAATTCCCACCTATGAGTAAGAAAATGCGGTGTTTGGTTTTTTGTCCTCACGATAGTTTGCTCAGATTGATGGTTTCCAGCTTCATCCATGTCCCTACAAAGGACATGAACTCATCATTTTTTTATGGCTGCATAGTATTCCATGGTGTATATATGCCACATTTTCTTAATCCAGTCTATCATTGTTGGACATTTGGGTTGGTTCCAAGTCTTTGCTATTATGAGTAGTTTTCCAAATCTTTAAGAATTCGGAAGCAGTCTACAGATGTTGAATGGACATATCTTTTCCCAAGGGTTGTGTATCCCATTAATTCAACTTCCAGTCTCTTGATGCACAAATTTTAAAAACTACCAGGGCTCATTCTTTAAGATTTCCAAATATGCCAAGATAGAGCTTGCACGTATGATGACCTTATAATTTTAACTTAAAATAATTCCAACTGAAAATGAACCCATAGTTTCTAAAAATATTAATCTCATTATGTTGATGACAGGATCTTCTTATATTCCCATCATCAATCAACCAATCAATCTGTTTTTGCATATTTATGAATTACCTGTGAATGCCAGGCACTTTGCAAAGACTTTGGGATAGAAAAATAAATAAAACATACTTTGTTCTTGAAATGCTCACAAAGAAGGAGAGAAATATTTCCATAAAGCCCAGAAGCCTGCAACTACTTCCCTTCACTGGTTCATTATTATTATCTCTTGCCCCTCAATTCTCAATGCAAAATGAGTGGATAATTACAAATGGTGATGGCTGTCACTGCTGTCCTTTAGAACAACATTAAATGGCCACATGGAAATTGAAATCCTTCCAGCTCTGTGACTTAGGCTCTAGGAAGAAAAATGTCCAAATACCATAGTATGCATGCTCTACCACCCACCACATTTAATACAGGGCAGTCCTAAATGGTTGCCAAATTTGGAATTTCCATTGAGCTCGGTAATACAGTTAGATAAATCAGAGTCTCGTGTTTCTTTATCTTTATTCTGTGTTTCACGCAGAAGGCACCACACTGTATATCATATTATTTGAGTTTTCTTCTGATTACAGTTCAAAATTCCCAAAGGATTTCAGTACATCTTGCCGTGCACATTTTGAAAGATACCTTTTATCTCAGAAACCAAAGTGCCTGCTGCAAGCACCTATTCCTACAAATATAATGACAACACCAGTGTGTGGGAACCACCTTCTAGAAGTGGGAGAAGACTGTGATTGTGGCTCTCCTAAGGTATTATTTATTAGAATTATTGGGGCAGAAGAATTATGCAGTTTTCTTTTTGTTTTCCAATATTCTTTTGGAAATTCTTTCTAAAGACAAACTTGGCATCGTAGTTAAAAAGGAGATTTGTGCTTGTGTTTTTGCTACTGAATTTAGTAATCCTTTGAAAGGCATTTCAAAAACTAGGACTTGATTTTGACATAATTATATGAAGTTAAATGTAAAAAAGTAAATTGTTAACTATAACATGTCACTTGCAATCTTTCCAAAACGTGTATTAGTCAGAAATCCCTAGACGACATAATGTCACAGTTGATCATCTGTTGAACAGTAACAATTAGAGATCTAGAAGTAAGTTCTACTCAGAGGGAGAGTTGGTCTTTTCTCATCAAGCCAGTGTATAAACCAGGTTGTAAACAGAGAAGAAAGAGGAAAAGAAAAAATAATCACAAAAATCTGTAGAAAATAGGCTATTAACATAGAACATCCAGAATAAGCACTATGATTCTGCTAATTTATATAAATTAGACTCCTTCAAGGCATTTATGTACTCTAAAGAATGCTGATCACTAGCAATCCCATTGCCTTCTAAAAGATATTCTGTTGCTCCACTGGTGAAGCAGGATGCAGTCCAAGAAGTATCCATTACTTAAGATGGCTCTGTGACAATGAACATGGCGTCTAAACTCTCTATGCTTCAGTTTATGTATTCAGAAATTTTAGCTGGTTAGATTAGATCAGAAGACTACACAGCCTAACTTAGTCATTTGTGAAGAATATTGTAAACTTTCTGTTAATTATAAAGAGGCATGGAATTTTACAAAAGATTTGACATTTTATAGCAAATTAGAGTTACGTTTATCTCGTTCTTACTTGCTTACATTCATCTATGGTTTCTTGGGTGGAAGACAATTGAAGATACTCAAAACCCTAGGTACTTCTGGTTTCAGCAAGTAAATGGTATGTATTTACAGAGAAGAAAGGGGGAAAGGATGAAGGAAGAGGCCAAGAGAGGACCATTGTATACACAATATGTAACATCTAAAATTCTTGAATTATGTCAGTCAACTCTTGTATTATTTTCATATCTTGTTGATTTTTTTCTTATGTAATTGAATAAAACCAGAGAGTTCAGGCTTAGGAACAACTGAATTTCTAAATAACTGTTTTCTTTTCCAAAAAGTAGTATGTATACTTCATACAGTATTGTTTATTGAGTAATCCAATTTCTCATAGATCTGATATCCCAGTTTATTATTCCTAGGTATATAGTTAGGGTTTTTTTTTTAGATTTTAAAAATAAGCTTTCTGTCTAGATATTTCTCCCAGGCATCACACTATTTTAAAGATTGTAACTTGACAATGCGTTTTAATGTCAAGTCTCTTCATTGTTTTGTCGTTACTGTTTTAGCTGCAAATTTGCCCTCAAATACCATTGAGATTTGATGGAAATGCATTAAATTTATATTTAACTTTGAAGGGCACTGATATTTTTACAATATTAAGTATTGTCTTAAAAGACAAGTTGCCTTTAAAGTTTCTCAGGAAATGTATATATAAAGTTCTTCATGGAGTTCCTGCACTTTTGAAAGGCTTTCTAAATTATTTTCATATTTTTCTTTCTGCTGTATGTTCAATTTTTTTTAGTTTGGACTTACACATCATACATCTAGACAAAATTTATTTTTGAAAAATTCTTGAATAATTCTATTTCTCACCTTTTGAGAAGTCTTCATTGCTGATAATATTTTGTTTTCTATTTTTCAATGTCCTTGGTCATTTTCACTGGAATTTGCCTATCAGAGTAATTTACCTTAAAAAGTAAACTTTCATTGCCATCTTGTGCCAGAATTCTATCACCTAGTCTATGGGAAGAAAATGTTGAACCCACCTTTTTCCATTGTGTGTGTGCTTTGAAGGAGTGTACCAATCTCTGCTGTGAAGCCCTAACGTGTAAACTGAAGCCTGGAACTGATTGCGGAGGAGATGCTCCAAACCATACCACGTAAGACCTTTTGTTTTCTTTGTTCCAAAACGTTTTCTCACGTTTATTTCAGATTTGAGAAAAATATGCCACTGGGTTCCATAATACACTAAAACACAATGTATTTTATATTTTTCAAACGACTCAATTTTGGAGAGGAAAACTAGCAATCATTATGAGCATGACTAAGGATTGTAGACAAACACTCATGAGAAAGTAGCTACTTTGACATTTGTGAGATTAGGGCTGCTGGAATCTATGCCAAAAACTGTTTAAATTCCCGTTAGAGAACGATGAGTTTAATACAAACCAAAATGAGAAAAGAAAAGTGTATTTAAAAACAGCCTCAGTTGATGAGCTCATTTTATTCTTGGTTAAAAGCTGATAGTTTTAATTTGCAAGGCTGTCAGAAAATCAATAGCATTTAAGAACATGCTATAAGATTTGACAATTTTACTCCCTTTAAAGTGTCTCAATGAGCCATAATTCAGGTAGTAGTTCTGTGTCTTATACAATCCTATGTGAGCTGGGCTAGGGAACCCAGTTACTTGGAAAATGGTACTTGTTTCAGTGAAAAATAACCTCTAAATATAAAATGGCAACAAGAAAAATAAAAAATAGGGGAAAGACTCAGGATACATTTTCTTTACTCCTCTTTCCCAATTCTTTTCTGGAATTGAAACTGCAGAGACAGTATAAAGAAAATAATTGACTCAAGCACCATCAATTATCATTTCATAGGGAATGGATAGGCAAGGTCAAAGATAAGGACCAACGCTTGTTTATTTACCAAACACCATTTAATACAGCCTACATGAATCATGGAATGAATCCACTCTGCAGGGAATTCTGGAAACTGTGCCCAGGCCAGAAACATAGCATCACAAAAGAAAAAAAATCATCCAGCTATTTAAGGGCTTGGAACCCTAGGTGAACATGCCCCTTACTGTGCAAGATAGGCAATTTATACCATGGAAGAAAATTGGAGGTGGACTCAGGAAACTAAAATTCTAGTCTTTTCTGTCAGAAACTAGCTGTGGGACTTTAAGTCCAGATAAATTAGTTTTTTTCACTCATGAAATACAGCTAATGGTATAGTCTCTTAAATAATATGAATTGTTATTCACATAATTTAAATTCTATACATTTTCATTATCATTATTACATAATATTTTGTAACTTGTAATAACCCTGGCTTCCAAATTTTATTTTTCCTTCAATCAGAGAGTGAATCCAAAAGTCTGCTTCACTGAGATGCTACCTTGCCAGGACAAGAACCAAGAACTCTAACTGTCCCAGGAATCTTGTGAATTTTCACCCATAATGGTCTTTCACTTGTCATTCTACTTTCTATATTGTTATCAGTCCAGGAAACAGGTAAACAGATGTAATTAGAGACATTGGCTCTTTGTTTAGGCCTAATCTTTCTTTTTACTTTTTTTTTTCTTTTTTCTTTTTTTTTAAAGATCATGAATTTGTGACTTAGTTCT